>NC_000010.11:2585757-2737272 GCF_000001405.40 Homo sapiens
GGGTAGGAGTCATATCATCCCCTGAGAAGGAGTGAGAATTAAACTAGGAATGTGGTGCCTTCTCTCCTTGTTCTATTCCCTTTTGTGGAATAGATTCTTGCTATCTCAGATTGCTTCTCTTTTTCCACAGTCCACCTAGAAGGTTTCTTATCTTCATCAGCAAGAAAGGAATATGGGATTTCTAGTTAAACACACCATGGTTGGAATCCCAGATATACCACTTAGTAGCTACACAGTAAAGCATTGGACTTACTCATCCTAAGTCTCACAACCTTTATTTCTAAGGGGGACTTAATGATGTGTGACTTAGGTGATCATTTTGAAGAGACATTGGGAATGCTTGGCGTATTATATATACTCTATATGTATCAGCTTTTATAAGTTATAATCAGTATTATTAATAATTCTATATCCATGTATGGATTTTTCTACCTACATATAGATGCTTAGCCAAATGCTTTAGTAAGTTACTACTCAGAATTCTCCCATTCAAAAGAAAAGGAGCTCCTTTAGATACTTCTATTCTAATTATCTTGTCATTACTTATGTCGACGTGAAATGGCTATATGATTCTGTTTTATAAAAGTTTATCAGGGATGCTAAAGTCCCAAGTCTGAACTATCCTGATTTCCATCTAAAATTGATTTTACATATATTATATGTGTATATGTATGTGTGTATATGTGTGTATATACACGTCTATGCAAAACTTAAAAGGCTACATTCTTTAAAGTCTGTGGAAGAAATAAAATGAAGTAAAAGACATCCATAATAACATTAAGTTGAGTGTTCTTTTATCTTTGATGGTCAATAAGCAAGCTAGAAAATGACTTAGAAATTTTGCAAGCCACACAATTTTGGCATTGAAGAGAATCGTTCCATTATGTACTCTTGATGCTATTTATGGAGTCAGTCACCTCAGTCACACTATGACACACACATGAAATGCAAAGCTGATGGGGGTAGTGAAATATGCTTTTTCCTATGAAGGTTCCTATAAAAGAAGAGAATCAAGCTCATGATAGATGCAGAGAAATCCAGCAATTTCCTTCAGAAACAATCCCACTTCAACTTGCCTACATTTTTGTAGACAAATTCCATTACAATTGACCAGAACAAAATGATTTTTTAAACCACACAATAGCATGTTCTTAAGTAAAAACTCTCATGGCAAGTTTAAAAGAAAGTGAAAAGTTTGTTTATATGGCTTTTTTAAAAGAATAGATGGCCTATGGGTACCAAATTATGTTCCAGAAGACTCAAGTGGACCATGATGGAGGAGCCCACATGTTGAAAATGTTTCCCACATTAGTAAACACTTCATCATAAAAACCAAACTGTCTCAATTTAATATGATAAATAAGCTTTTATTAAATGAAAAATAAGAGACATCCAAAATACACAAAAACTATTCTGGATAAATTGTTTTCCTGAAGAACAGCCCCAGCTTTGGTCGCTTCTATTTTATTTATTTTTATTTTTATTTATTTATTTTTTTTTGAGATGGAGTGCCGCTCTTTTGCCCAAGCTGGAGTGCAGTGGCATGAGCTCGGCTCACTGCAACCTGCCTCCTGGGTTCAAGTGATTCTCCTGTCTCAGCCTCCTGAGTAGCTGGGATTACAGGTGCATGCCACCACACCCAGCTAATTTTTTTATTTTTAGTAGAGACAGGGTTTCACCATGTTAGCCAGGCTGGTCTCAAACTCCTGACCTCAAGTGATCCACCCACCTCAGCCTCCCAAAGTGCTGGGATTACAGGCGTCAGCCACTGTGCCAGGCCTGGTCACTTCTTTCCTTTTGTCTAGGACTATTCTCATGTTTATTTCTCCTCTTCTGTTTTTTCTCCTTGCATGATTTTTCTGGGCTGTAATCCATAAGGATAATTTAATTCTCCTTAGACCCATCAGGGTTTAAATACCTGGAACCATCCCTACATTATGGACACTTCACCATTAAAAATACAAGATAAACCTTTGTTATTTACTTTCCTGAACAAACTACACTTTACAAAGCCAAAAAAAACCCACAACTCTTTGTAAATAAAAGATTATGTAACTTATAGTTAGCTTCATTTTTTTATAGCACAAAATTTCCTCCATAGAGGAGTAGCTAGAACCCAGCAATCTCTCTGTGGGTGAGATCATCATAATCAATACTAGCAGGATTATTGTCATATTTAAGTGATGCTTGATTATTTCTTAGAATTTCACTTGTATGTTCCCTTGTGTTTTCAAAACTTAATTTGAAATAAAATGTCTTAAAATACATAATTTCTTTAAAGATTTTGACCTAAGTCAAGACCTTGGTGTAAATTCACACAGTATATTTGGAATATTATAATTGTTGATCTCCCTGCCTCTATTTAATACTTTATATTTTCTGCTTTCTTGGATATCAAATTCATATTAAAACTCTTAGTCTTGCAGTGTTCATATTCTGCATAGAATGTAGAGAATGATGGCCATGATTTGAAGTCTTAGAAGAAATGAATAGCTTTCTCTCTTGATTAAAAACTGAAGAAAAGCACAGACAATAAGCTGCAAGTATTGTTTCTGATGTTGTTGTAGTTGTTGTTGTTTTGAGCCAGTCTCACTCTGTCGCCCAGGCTGGAGTGCAGTGGCACCGTGTCAGCTCGCTGCAACCTCTGTCTCCTTGGTTCAAGCAACTCTCCTGCCTCAGCCTCAGGAATAGCCGGGATTACAGGAGCCCACCACCATGCCTGGCTAATTTTTTAATATTTTTAGTAGAGATGAGGTTTCACCATGTTGGCCAGGCTGGTCTCAAACTCCTGACCTCAGGTGATTCGCCTGCCTCAGCCTCCCAAAGTGCTGGGATTACAGGCGTGAGCCACTGCGCCTGGTCCTTTTTAATTCTTTACATACTGTTTGTGTGAACAGTGTTGGCAATATGTAAATACACAACAAGAGAAGAGAAAATAATTTCAAATCTGGGTCCCACCCTGCGATGTGTGTGTATTTGTGGGGAGGGAAGAGGAGAATGGAAGAAGATGGAAAAACTTGCTCTTGGAAGCCCTTTTTCTTTCAAGTAATTCCTATGAAGACATCTTTTTCCCATAGGCAAACGCTTCATTTTGTGAAGTTATTTGCATAACCTTGTGCAAAAAGTTAATTCCAAGGACTAAATTCCTACAGTTATGTTCTGCCAAGTATATTCTCTGTTGCTTCTGGTGAATTTTAAAGGAGAAACCACATTTTTGTAACATTATCAAATTCATTGGTCAATAGTTAAGACCCTGTGATGAACAGTTAAAACTATTGACAAATAAACAGGGTGTCTCCCAAAGTCATTGTCTAGAAGTAGCTGGTTTCCTAAGGCTGTTGTGGGAATTCCTTGATTAATTGGGGCAACTGACAGATAATCTCTTGGGGTCTTTCCAGTGAAAGTCCTGGGGATTCTAAATTTTTTTTATGAACATAATTTTGGGAGAGTTTTCATTTTGCAAGAAAAGTCATTCTGTATGAACAGTGAGCTCAGTGGATTCACGACCAAATTGGATTGTCTGATAATCACCAAAGCCCAGAAGCTTTACACCCACAGACAGTGTTTGTGGAGGTGGATACGCTTTACCTGGAATAGCACATCAGTGATTGCATGGAAGTCAGGAGCAAGATCGTGAAATGAACCGATGCACAACATTCTTCCAACCCAGAAAACATTTCTAAGTGAGGAAACACGGTAAAAATAGTAAAAGAAGAACAGATGGTTCTGTTAAAATAACCATATTGAGTCAGTTTCATTTCCATTATCCATTTAGATTTTAAAGTAACCTGGGGTTTTGTGATGTATGTAATAAATTTTTTTCAAATAAATAAATTTAACTTGAAGTTATTTTGCCTTGTATGAAATATAATAAATATTTTATAAAAGGTATAAATGTATGATGAATGGGAATTCTAAAGATTCTTTAGGTTGAGATGGAACATTCTAAGGTATGAAAACAGATTTATACAGCTTACTCTGACTTTTGTTTATCTCTCATATTTTTTTAACATCAGTCAACAAGAAAACTACATTTGGGGATTCCCTGCCTGTTGTTTTTCCAGCTGCACACCAGGAAGATGTTCAGTTTGTACACACATATCATAGTCAAGCAGTGAGCTGATAGAACCTCAATAGTGCCTGGAGCAAATGAACAAATGAAAAATGCAAATTTTAGAACAATCAGAACTTTTATGGTTCATGTTCTCCAGAAATGTAACATAAGTTATATAGGTAGTAAGTGAAAGCAATGAATAAAGACATTTTAATACCTAACACAAAAACCTAACATAGATTTTGTCTTAAAATCTCAGTGTTTGCCCATCAAATTTTAGATTGTTACAACATCTCTGAAAACTACTGTAGATTAGTGTTTGGGGGAAACCCATTCCCCTGCAAGTTCTTGTTCACCCCATATTTACAGTGTTTATATGAAGAACTAATAATCTTATTGCTGAGCCCTTTGAATCCAACAAATATTTGTTTAAATAACAGAAAAACTGGCAAGTTAATGTGTGCCAGCTCTCCACTACCTGCAATTAGTACAGAAATAAAGCAGAAACCTCCCATCCTCTCAGGGAATTCTGTATCTTGTTGGAGAGAGGAACACTGAAGAAACAAATTACAATACAGAATGCATGCCTTCAGGTGGAAGTCTAAATTCCTAAGGAGGTGGGCAAACCTTTCTGGATCTGACCCTCGTATGCCTCTTCAGGACCATCTCCCAATTCCTAAGGAGGCAGGCAAACCTTTCTGAATCTGACCCTTGCATGCCTCTTCAGGACCATCTCCCAATTCCTAATGAGGCAGGCAAATCTTTCCAGATCTGACCCTCGTATGCCTCTTCAGGACCATCTCCCAATTCCTAAGGAGGCGGGCAAGTCTTTCTGAATCTGACCCTCGTATACCTCTTCAGAACCATCTCCCAATTCCTAAGGAGGTGGGAAAATCTTTCCGGATCTGACCCTTGCATGCCTCTTCAGGACCATCTGCCAATTCCTAAGGAGATGGGAAAAGCTTTCTGAATCTGACACTCACATGCCACTTCAGAACCATCTCCCACCTCCAGAACTCACTGCAAGATATTCTTCCTTTCACTGGAGGATTTTCCATGTCCGATGCTTCCTTCTTTACCTTTCCAACCTCTACTCATCCTTCAACACTCAGCATAAAGTCACCTTTTATGGGAGGCTGTCCCTCACCAGTTACTTCACCTCACCCATCTCAAGACCCAGTCGTGGAGATCATGGAACAGGTGACAGAATCTCCTTCCAATGAAACAATCCTGGAAGAAACGTGATTCGGCAACAGTTTGTTATTTCAGGGCCCATACACGTAAAGCTTCATTACGCTTATCAAAGAAACCCAAACATGGTGAGGACCTGAGACAGTAAACATTCCCCAAAATCACTAAAAGAGGAAAGGGAATCAGATCACAGATGAAACTACACAAAACCCGTGCATTGAATGTGCCATAAAATGTAATCCCTGGTGACGTTTCTGGAGCACTGAAAGCCAAGGTACGCCCCTGCAGAAGGTGGAGCACCTGCCCCCATCAGGGCACAACTTCTCCTTAGGGGACCCTGCTCAGGGTGAAGCAAGGGTCATGTGAGAAGCCATCGCCTCTGATCTGGTTTGGCTGTGTCCCCACCCAAATCTCATCTTGAATTGTAGCTCACATAATCCCCATGTGTTGGGGGAGGAACCCTGTGGGAGGTAATTGAATTATGGGGGTGGGCCTTTACTGTGCTGTTCTCTTGATAATGAGCGAGTCTCACGAGATCTGATGGTTTTATAAAAGGCAGTTCCCCTGCACACACTCTCTTGCCTGCTGCCATGGAAGACCTTCCTTTGCTCCTCCTTCACCTTTCACCTTGATTGTGAGGCTTCCCCAGCCATGTGGAACTGAGTCCATTAAACCTCTTCTTTATATATGACTCAGTCTCAGGTATGTCTTAGCAGTGTGAGAACGGACTAATATAATCTCCACTCACTTCTTGAGGGAAGGGTATGTGCCAGACTGTCACTCTGCTGGGTCACAGGACCTGACTTCACACCGTGACTCTTTGATCTTCCCACCCTGACAGGGTGCATCATAGACTCCAGCAGCCAAACCCAGTGACCAGAGAGTGCTGAGTCAGGTAGGAAGGTGCACTGCAGGGACAGAGGAAAGGAGAATGTGGCCTGGACCTCACCAGCCCAGCGCATGAAGCACTGTGTTGGAAACTGTCAGCAGGCTAACATGATTGTGTTTCTACTTTCATCTGAAGTGTGACAATTCTCCCGCATTGTTCCCATGATAGAGGTTTCTCGCCTGGCCAAAGAATGTCCTAGACATGGTTCTGGACTCTCTGAGGCCTGGGTGGGCCTCCTTTCTGGTCTGCTGAGCCTCGCAAGGACACACTGGGTGTCTGATGCATCGCATAGCTGTAACGGTGGACACTCTCACCATCCGAGGGGAGTGCGGCAGGAGACCTGGGCACTTCGGGGCGCAGCCTTGGCTTTTAACGCTTGCTTGCAGGAGCATTTTTTTTGTATTTTTCCAGCCTGTGAATGTCTTCTATATGCATTCTATTTCCACCTTAATGCTCTGTGTGTATAACTAAAGATGGGTGGTATTAGTTCAATTTTCTTTTCTTAAAAAAATGTTTTCAAGTACAGTTCCCATAAATTTAAGTGCTAAAGGCTTTAAAGCACAGTTTTCATACAGTTAAGTGCTAAAGCCTTCCCTATCCTCCCACATCACATGACTGTCTCTTACATCCAACAGACACAGAAGCAAAAGATGAGCAAGGCATTGTTCAAAGCCAGTCATCTGGGAGTGCTTCAATACCGGTGAAAATATAACTAAAACCCGCCATCACTGGTACACTTTTAGAACATTATACCCACAGGACTCACTTATCTCAAAATTACAGTCTGTATTTCCTTAACATGATGGGAGATCACAGAAAATAATTGGTCAAACTGTATTATCAAAATACCATGCTAAAGATAACCTCCCATCCAAAAGGTAATTAAGACCTAAATCTAAGTATATTCAATTACCTCTCCACACGGCTTCTGTAATTCTGGGAATTCTGCCCTAAGAATGAGCTAAAGTTCAGCTTGGGTTTTCTCTAGAGCACTGATACGGAGAGAGGTAGGCAGCAGTTAATATGTCTGCCCTCCCTTTCTTCCAGATCCTGCTTCTGTAGGTTGCAGCAAGCTCTGCATTGCTCCTAGTTTAGGAAGAAGGATGAGAGCCAGGCCCACATCTAGACAGGCAGATTTATAAAGGCAGCCACATTCAGTTCCCTGCTCAGTTGATGGCTGTGTTAAGCAGAAAACACTGACAGTGTCTACATCTTTAATGGGGAGAGCTAATGATAAAGAAAGACTGCAGGCATTTGGGGATTATGTTTGTTGGAAGGGACAGCTAGATTGTTCTGTGATTCTTAAATCATAACAAAATTGATGAGGGCTGACACTCCTAAGAGTTGGCAGGATGGAGCTAAAAGTTGGAAAATCTAAATCTCATTTTCAATGCTGCTTCTGCTGTTTGTGCTTTCAAATCTATAACCATCAAATGAGAGAATAATAACTACTGTTCTTTAAAGAAGTCCTGTAAAAAAAAAAAAAAAAAAAAAAGAAATGTGACGATTGAGCCAAACACTTCTTACACTGAAATTTCAACCAGGATCTTAGGTTAAGAAGAGAGACAGCAGAAATTCCTTTTAAAAATGCAAACATGTTCCTGTGAAAGAGATATCAGATAAATGTGATTCATCATTAATAAACAATGAGGACTAATATGAGATTAACTCACTTTAAACCTCATGGTGTAAAAACACAGAGATGATCAGTCAGCTTGCTTTTGCAGCTGTTTGTTTTTCTGATTAGAAAGGTAATTCATATTCACTGTAGGAAATACACGAAGTACGGAAAGTACAAACAACAGCATCACTATTTGTTAGCTTCTTGCCGGACTTTTTGCTGCGTCCATGTAACCTTATGTTTTTAACAAAACTGCATCCTGACCTCATCTCCAGTTTTGAAGTAACGTGTCATTACACATGTGGATATCCAGTATTTCCCCAGATCATGGCTGATATTTCCAGGCAACAGAGACTCACCGACAGTGTTTCATTCTCCGGTAAAGATAGACAGAGTTCAGGAGGAGAACTCTGCAAAATCGTGGAAGAATAATCATTGTCATGCAAAAACATATCCTGAGCTTCTTCAGATGAAGAAAGAGAGAGATGACATCTTTTACTCTGTTTTTACTCCTGATCTCCATTGTGAAGGCTCAACCTCTGAACGGTAACTCTTCCCTCCAAGAAATCCACCTTCTTCCCCAATCCTGGGTTCTATTGTCTCAGCACAGGAGCACAGCCAGCAAAGACACAAATGACCAGAGGACAGCAATAGGCAGTGCTGTGCCTTGCATTTTCCATGTGAATTTCCTGCCTCATATGCCTACACTGTGACTTTCCTGCCAGGGCACCTCTTCCACCCCTTTTTTTTTTTTTTTTTTTTTTGACGGAGTCTTGCTCTGTAGCCCAGGCTGGAGTGCAGTGGCGCGATCTCTGCTCACTGCAAGCTCCGCCTCCCTGGTTCACGCCATTCTCCTGCCTCAGCCTCCCGAGTAGCTGGGATTACAGGCGCCCATCACCATGCCCGGCTAATTTTTTGTATTTTTAGTAGAGACGGGGTTTCACCATGTTAGCCAGGATGGTCTCGATCTCCTGACCTCGTGATCTGCCTGCCTTGGCCTCCCAAAGTGCTGGGATTAGAGGCCTGAGCCACCGAGGGTGGCCCTCTTCCACCTCTTTGGGCCAACGCTCAGGGGCCCTGTGGACTCTGACTTTCCAGCCACACTTTATGTTTATCCAAAATGCTCCATGGTCATATTTGAGGAAACTTTGGCTTCTTTAACAGAAAAGGTTCCATGTGGGGGCAGCAGAAGTGAAGGACGGATCTCTTGGAGGAGAAGAAAGACTGAACCTCCAGCCTCAGCACGCTCTGGTCTTGGGCCTCCCCGTTGTCCGTGGGTTCAGACCAGCACCACTCCACAGCTTTCCATGGAGCAGAATTCGCTGAGAGCCTGGGGAATGGTAAAGGCAGCTACGGCCAGGAGCCTCTGGGCTGGCTGGCAGATGTGGCTGCTCTCTGCTCCTCGTGGGCACAGGCCATCTTCATGGGATCCCAACAAGTGCCCACCATGGCACCAGCCAGCTTTTCCTCACTTTCCTGACAACCACCACACAAAACGAATCCTCTGAGCCCAGCCAAAGGAACAAGGCTGCCCACAACCAGCCTCAGACACAGTGGAAGTCTGGCTGTGATGGGACAAGGGACAGAGATGCTGAGGAGGCTCTGCCCTGAGACCCAGGAGCTTGAGGCCACCTGCGGCCAAGGCTGTGTCAGGAGAGCAGGGACAGCTCCTGCATGGGCCAGTGCACACACAGCTCAGGAGTGGGTGCAGACAGACCCCATGGTGGGCAGCACAGCCACCACAGTGAGCTGAAGGCAGAAGAGGAAGCATGAGAATAACCTTTCCACATCCCAGGCTCAAGGATGAGCACGAGGTGAGAGCCACTCACACACAGGGGGAGTAACAGGACTGCCCTGCAAGGATGAAGTGCCTGCAACAGTAAAACCCAACCCCGCTCCCGCTCAATGCCTCATGTGGTTTGACTGTGTCCCCACCCAAATCTCATCATGAATTGTAGCTCCTATAATTCCCACATATTGTGAGAGGGACCCGGTGGGAGATAATTGAATCATGGCGGCAGTTTCCCGCATACTCTTCTCGTGGTAGTGACTAAGTCTCACCAGATCTGCTGGTTTTATAAGGGGAATCCCCTTTCACTTGGTCTCATTCTCCCTCTTGCCTGTCGCCATGTAAGACGTGACTTTCGGCCAGGTGTGGTGGCTCACACCTGTAATCCCAGCACTTTGGGAGGCCAAGGCAGACAGATTGCATGAGGTCAGGAATTCGAGATCAGCCTTGCCAACATGGTGAAACCCCATCTCTACTAAAAATACAAAAGATTAGCCATGCGTGGTGGTGCACGCCTATAATCCCAGCTACTCGGGAGGCTGAGGCATGATAATTGCTTGGATCTGGAAGGAGGAGGTTGCAGTCAGCTGAGATCGCACCGCTGCACTCCAGCCTGGGTGACAGAGCGAGACTCAGTCTCAAAAAAGAAAAAGAAGGAGTTCCTTTTGCCTTCCGCCATGATTGTGAGGCCTCCCCAGCCACATGGAACCGCGAGTATATTCAACTTCTTTTTCTTTATAAATTACCCAGTCTCAGGTATTTACTCTGACCTGAGGGCTTGGTAGGAAACCTCTGGGCCCAGCAACTTGAACAGCAGTGTGAAAATGGACTAATACAATGCCCATTGGATTGGCACAGCCCTGCCTCCCACTAAAGGCCTGATAGGAAGCGGGGCTCGCTCTTCTAGGCCCAAAGGCTATTTTCCACAGTTTTTACTGTTCTTTCATACACAATGTCCAGAATTCAATTAAATATCAAGCGATCTTCCCACACACAGAAAGAATAAAAGCTGCTAATTTTTAAGATAAAAATCAATCAGGAGACACATATGTAGGAATGGCCCAGATGCTAGAACTATGAAATCAGAACTGTAAAACCGAGGGTTAATATGTCAGAGATCCAATGGAAACAGTGTTGCATAAACATATGGGGACTGTCAACATAGTTATAGAAATTATTTTCAAAAGGGGCATGCAAATGAATTATTGGAATAGACAAGCACTATTTCAGAAATGATAAATTTCCTTGACAAGCTGAAATCAATACTCATTTTAAAGTCATGCATACAGGGTTACTTCATTTTCAACAATAAGACCAAGATGAATCTGTAGGAAGGGGATAAACTTTCCAACAAATGTTTCTGGAGAAAGTGAACATCCACATACCAGAAAGACAAACTGGCCCCTTGCCCTGCATCCATGAGAAACCAGCAGCTACCATCGTCCCTAACGGGGAAGGACCGAATGCTTTCCCCTGAAAGACGGAGAAAACGCACATTCCTGCTCTCACGGTTTCTATTCAACATCGTACAGGTGCTTTTAGTCAACGTAATAAGACTAAAATTAAAAATAGGAATATAGATTTAAAATGTTTTAAAATTGTTCTTATTTGCAGAACACATGATCACCCATATAAAAATCTCGATGAATATAAATAATCACTGGATACAAGGCCAATGTTTAGAAATAATGTACTCCTATATGTTAGCAAAGAATCAGTGGAAATTAAAATGTAAAGAATAACACTTATAATAATTTAAAAACATAAAATATTGAGGGTCGTTTCTAAGAAAATATTTGTGGATTCGCATTTGGAAAACCATAAAGTATTTATGAAAGTACTTTTAAAAGACCTAAATTAATAGATTAACCATTCATTAATTGAGAAAATTCACGTTATTAACAATTCAGTTCTCCCTGAGTTGATCCGTAAACCCAAGGCAATTCCAATAAAAATCCTAAAAGAATTTTTTTTGGCAGAAATTAACAAATTGATTTTGAAATATTTCTTTTGTAAAAGTAAAATGCTTAAAATAGTCACTTCTTATTGTTTTTCATTTTACTGATTTCTAGTTATCTACTTACAGTTTGAAAGACATGATCTTGAATTTGACTAGCATTTCTGGTTTTCTATTGTTGGTGTGGGTGAGAGCTGAGTCAGTGCCCAATAATCACTGTGGTTTTATTTAAAACATGTCTCAGATGATACTTTGAAATAACATCTGTTTCTATCTTTCACAAAGCTTACATAATTCTTCAGTGTCCATTAAATAAATTACAGAGTCATTATTCTTCTATTTGAAGTCGTCTGTACACAGGCTCAACCTCACAAGCTTGTATTTTGAGACTACTTGCTATTCATCTCTATTCCACTGAAAATGATTTTTGATCCAGGATTTACCACACTTTGTCTTTCTCCTGTATTACCTTCTATCTTGAATACACTGATTTGCACTTCCATTTACCTCAACTCCAGCCATCCTTCAAAGCCCAGCTCAATTTTAAACTTTCTCCAAAAGCTCTCTAATATCAAGTCAGATTTAGTGTGCATGTCCCCAGTATTCCCCTAGCGTTTCTGAAGACAGTCCTCAGTTCCGTACCCCTCACAGTGGTGCATCTCTGTTCAGTAAATACTTGCTGAACTGAATTGCACAGTATCCTGGGATGAACCTGCTCAGGAAAAGATTGAACAGAGCATGAAGAACAGCTAAAATGAACACTACGACAGGCCTTCTTTAGTGTGAGAAGCTAGATTCCAAACACGTAACAACAGCTGAAAGAGACACATGAAATAGGGATTATTTGCATTCGAATTAACTAAGATTGTTTAATTCAGGACATAATCTCTGAACACAAATAAAAGGAGAAGAAAAAAATTCCTTTATTGACTTGAGAACGTATGTCAAAGTTGCTTTTTAAGAGCTATTTTTAAAAGTTGATGAAAAAAGCATTGTATCAAACAGTAAGTTTCAATTTTGAATTGTAGAATGCTTTTAATCTAAAAAAAATAGTTTTTAGTGGCATAAAATAAATTATTGGGAAATGCTATATTTGTGTGGTAGAGGAACTATTTTAATATAAGCATACTCTTTATTTCATTGGTGATAAAGCATATTGTCTTTTTAAATATTATCAGCATATATATGTTTTTCCCATTCAAAGGTAGGAAGAAATTGTCATTATTTAACGGAAAATAGCATCTAGAAGCCATTTCTGTATTATCTATATTTGAAGCTGCAATTCTACGTAAATCATCTTCAATTCTAAAATACAAATGTTTGTCTAATTTAGCTTCTATGTGTGTTTTCACGTTGAAGTTCCTCCTACCCATCACTGGTTCTTCGAGAACAATGATTTAAAGGAATTCAGAATAATCACAAGAGGAATTGCTCTTTCAAATCTGAACTGGAGATCTGCAGCTCAGATTACACTGAGAAATAATAGCACCAGCCACATTTTTATGTATGTCGATCTATTTTCATGACTTCTAGGTAAAACATGACATGGCAGCCCACAGTGGTCCATGAAGACTTGGCTCCATGGAGCCAAAATCAGGACCTTCCTAGAGACCATGGTCAGCATGGGGACAGGGGCTTTCCCAGGGAGCCTACACAATTGATAGCTGAGTATTTACATGAGCTGTCTTATCTCGTAGGTTCTCAGAGAAGGCACAAAAATTGGGTTATTTAGGGTTATTTGATGCTCTTTAACTATCTTTTAAGCAATAGATTGCTGCCTCATTTTAATAAAGGTCGAAATAAAAGAAGAGATGATTTTCACAGAATAAGATTTTCAGATTTAAAAGTATGACATTGAAAATATAGTGTAAAAACAAAATTACATGTCAAAAGGAGCCCAGTTGCACATCAGATCTTCTTTGAATCTTCTTTCAGCCTTCCCTAGATCAGCTTCCCTATTTCCCACTAGAGAAATGCCCTTCTCTAGAGAAATCCCTTTCTCTAGTGTGACATTTATTTTTATTTCATTTTAATTGTATTGATAGGAAATCTGAGGAGAAAACACTTTTTTTGACTATGGTATCTCCATGTAAATCATGACTACAGGTAAAATCAGCTGACTTTGGTTTGCAGCCAAGATGGAGCAGCCCCACTCCTGTTGGGCCCTCCATACACACAGGACAAGCACCAGCACAGCACACATGCGGGCCCCTGAAGGGTGGAAGCAGGAGGCACCCGGGGGTCTTGGGGCTGAGGAACCAGCTGCAATGGGTCCCTGGGCTTCTGGGGGCTTCTCACGTATCCTGGACAAGGTGCTTCAGAAGCCTCCACCCAGAACTTTCAACAGGCATGGACCAAAAGAGCTTCAAGGACAGCCTGCTCCCAGGCAGGTCACGGGGAAAAGGACCACCTCCCGAAGGAAGGCAATGCCCAGCCCGCTTCAGCCAGACTGCAACAGAGCAACAACCCGACTCCGTGTCAAGGGTGCCCAGCAGGGAGCGGGCCTCCCAGCCATCCCTGCTTGCTACAGCAGGTAGTGGCAGCACAGTCACACCTGGGGGGTGGGCAAGGCAGGGAGCTCTGAGTCCCTACCAAGGTGGGTATAGCAGCAGGTTGCAGATGGGTCCAGCGAACTCCGAACATCCACACCCCTAGGCAGGGCTGGTTGCACTTGACTGTACCACCCCGATCACAGCAGGGTACAGTGAGGGGCTGAGCCTCCACCCACTCGAGGCAACCATGTCTCTGCCCACATTCCCTGGGAAGGAGTCAACCCGGCTGAGGGAGGCTGAGTTTCATGCCTGGCAAGGAGATGCTAGGAGTCAAGGCCCACCATGGGAGGGAGGTGTCAGGGCCCCAGTGGGAAGCTACACACACTCGCCCAACAGGACCTGCCCCTGCACCTCCAGAGAGCAGCACCTGCCAAAACAGAAGATGTGTCTACTTAACATACACTAAAAGATAGAAAATCTCAGCAAAACATAAAAATTATAACCAGAAAAACCCACGATGAAATCATATAGAACTGAAAGTTACATTAACCAAAATTAAAAGGAAAAAAGCAAACAAAAAAACCTAAAAAGCAGAAAATTGCCTCACTAGATGGTCTCGCTAGTAGAGCAGAGACGACAAAGATGGAATCAGCGACTCTGAGGACACATTGAGATAAGTTATCAAATAAGCTGCATGGCAGAGAAAGGAGAACAACGACCACAAAAATGAACAGTATCTAGGACCTTTGTGTCAATTTAAAGAAAAGTAACAGGATAGCTAACATTTATATAATGGGAATTTCTGACAGAAAAGGAGACTAAAAAGTATTAGAAAAAAATAATGCCTGAAGCCATCTCCAATTTGGAGAAACATATACTCCTGCAATTCAAGAGGCTAAGTGAACCCCAGGGGGGATAAACCCCCAGATCCCGTGATAAACACATCATAATTAAACTTCTGAAAACCAAAAACAAAAAAAGGGAAATAAAAATTGAAAGCAGCCACAGAAATAGGACATTTTCCTTGAAGAGACCACAACTTCAAATGACAATGGATTTTGATCTCCAATCAGAACAAACTGGTGGGAGAGGGTGTAACATGCTGGAGATAGTCTGAGTGATTTTTATGGCGGCCTTATCAACATCCGGATATACTATAAAACCTGTTTAAGGCATTTTTGGCAGAAAGATGACATGGAAAGACATCTCCCAATATAAAAATACAGCAATAAGATAAGATATCTAGGAATGGTGGCGTCTATTTTTCTCTCTGGGGTACTGCCCCATTTTGCTCTGTTATAACTGACCGAAAATGACCCCTAGGACTTACCTCATTTGAGATGCCTCCACCTAATCCCCAGAGAATTTCACTGTGCTGACTTCTGATCATCTCTACACATGGCTACAGCCAGACATGATGCCATATTTGTGTACAGTTTCTCCTCGTCCTGTGCACTCCTCTTTGCTTTTCAGAGTTTGCCATTTTTCCAAAAGATGACATTGTCTTCGGCTAAGAAAATCATTTACTCTTTTTATTAGCATTTATTTTATTTTATTTTATTTATTTATTGTTATTTATTTATTTTTGAGAGACAGAGTCTTTCCCTGTCACCCAGACTGGAGTGCAATGGTGCAATCTCGGCTCACTGCAACCTCCACCTGCCGAGTTCAAGCGATTCTCCTGCCTCAGCCTCCTGAGTAGCTGGGGTTACAGATGCACGCCACCATGCCCAGCTAATTTTTTTGTATTTTTCGTAGTGATGGGGTTTCACTATGTTGGCCAGGCTGGTTTCAAACTCCTGACCTCAGGTAATCCACCTGCCTCAGCCTCCCAAAGTGCTGGGATTACAGGCGTGAGCCACGGCGCCCAGCATTAGCATTTATTGTTACTTATATGTGCATCTTCTATTTACGAGATTATGTTAAAGATTGAAAATGTGTATAGACTACCCTGGATAATTTTTAGAATTTCACAAGAATACACTTAAGGAGAGTAAAATACTAAAATTCCAGGCAGCACCAGTTCAGAATACATATTTAACTCTTGTGCCAGTCACATGAAGTGTGGTCCATCCAGAAGGTATTTGATAAACCCTTTTGAATACATTTAGAACATGGTAAAGCTTTCTCTCCATCACAGGTTCATGCTGGTTGGTTCAAAAGCCAGGGGGAAGTATTATTTATTTCATGATGCCTTCAAAGATGACAGAGTAATAAAGAGAGTAGCGAAATGTTTTAAAATATAAAAGTGAGGGAAATTTTGAATTATTTAACTTCAGTTAGGGAAGAAAATTGATGAGGTGACGATGGAAATTCTGAAAGTTAGGTAACCAGATGTTACCTTTTTGCTATTGTGTTTCCTTCCTTCCTTCCTTCCTTCCTTCCCTCCTTCCTTCCTTCCTTCCCTCCTTCCTTCCTTCCCTCCTTCCTTCCTTCCCTCCTTCCTTCCTTCCTTCCCTCCTTCCTTCCTTCCCTGCTTCCTTCCTTCCTTCCTTTCCTCCTTCCCTTCCTCCTTCCTTCCTTCCTTCCCTCCTTCCTTCCTTCCCTCCCTCCCTCTCTCTTTCTCTTTCTTTCCTTTCTTTCTTTCTTTCTTTCTTTCTTTCTTTCTTTCTTTCTTTCTTTCTTTCTTTCTTTCTTCCTTCTTTCTTTCTATGTGAGAGTGGTTTCAACAGAATAAAGTAAAATTTAATTGGCATAATATCATATTCTTGCTTAAATATTCCCACTCATTAGAAGAAAAGTAATCAGTATTCAGATATGAGTGAAAAAAATTGAACCTATGGTAGCAGAGAAAGTAGTAAATGGCATATGTGTTGGGAGGTGAGACAAGGGTGTGAAATTATAAAGAGCTCCAACCTTTCAAAATCGGTGATTAAGAAACCATCATCTGCTGAACCAGGAGCTCCTACCCTCCCACTCACTTATCTCACACCCAAGACGACAGTGAAGATCAATTTCCATCTCTCTGCTGCCCACATGTTTCAGAGGTTGCCCTTCCATAAGGTAACAAACTTTGGTAAAGCTACCAGCTTTCTACAACTTGGAATTACTGTTGATTATTTGAAGAATTGACATTGTACAGGAAGAAGGCTTATCCAGCTATGTAAGGAATGTCATTGCCATTTAGATAGGTCATCCAGAGGTAGAAATTAGACATGACTCAAACAAAGGAAAAAAGTCTGTGCAAAACCAAGAAGGAAAGACAGAGGCAAACTCCTGGGATAATGGTAGACAAACCAAAATGATGACAGGCCAGAAATTAAGGAAATTAAAGTGGTACATTATCAACTTAGTTTTGAAGATAGTAATATATATATATTATATATACATATTATATATATAACATAGAATTTAAAATAGCTTTAAACCAGTTGTGCATCATGTGAGAAAACATACCTACTGTAGGTGTGTAATTTATTATTAATTATATGTAGCTTGATTTGAAAACATACAGTCACAGTAACAGGATAATCACCTAAAGCAGTTCTTTATGTACGGTAAATAGAGGGTTCCTGGAATACGAAGATGTTTGAAGAGTAACTGGTTTTATTTGTTGTTTAAAGAAAAAAGAAGGAATGCATGAGAGATAATTTCCTACACTTGAAGAATAAAGTAAAGTCATTACAGCTATTCAGTGCTTCCAAACATTCAGAGCTATCTCTGTAGCAGAATTCTCACTTTCTCATTAACTTCTTTGTAATGGAATTTTCACGTTCTCCTATTAACTGGCTATTAGTAAGATCCAGTATAACAGTCCATAGCTGAATTAAACTATATATAGCTTAATAATTCAGATGAATATGACCTACACAGGTGAAATTAATAATCTACATTTTAATAAAAATATACACACTTTAGAAAATAAATATATGAACAACAATTTTAATGACAGTTACCAAGTCTGATGTCCATCATGCCTTTTATGTGATGCTATTTAAAACATGTCTTCAATAAATTTGCAGCTAGTTTTTTCAGCAGTTGAATCACTTATAGGAAGGAAAAAAAACCCTCTATCTGAACAAAGCTTCCCAGGTACACTAGCAATTTCTGTAAAACCTTTTGTTTACTATTTATTATAATGTTCAATAAGAAAATGACCTGTACATAAAAAAAGATGTAATATTTACATAAACCATGAGCTAAATTAAATTTAACAATTACTTTTATTGTAAGGCTTGCGCTCATCACTGTGGTGGGTAGCAGCATCAGTGAAAAACAGCCTGTAGGCTTCATAATTCCTTTTAAAGAAATGTTTCTGCATGCAAAAATATTTTGGAAACCACAAATCTCATTAAACTCTGAGTTTTATTCATAATAAGAATAAATCAGGCTCAGAAAAGTGAAGTGAGGTGCCCCAGGCCCTGACCTACTCGGAGCAGAGTCAGTCAGACAGGGTGCATGGTCCCCATCTTGGTGCGGGCACCCCAAGTCCAGGTGCTGGGAGGTTTCTCTTCATGGTTCCACGTCTACACTCATTGCCTGGAAAGTCGGGGTGATGAAGGAACTGTCTCCTTATTGTTGTTTCTGGACAGCCAAGATCATTAAAAAAAAAAAAAAAAACATGGAACAGATTGTACCAACAGGTTGTCATGTTTTATTTTTGTTATCGTGCTAAAAAATATAATAATATAGAAAAAATGCTATGAAGGCAACAGAACAGCACCTCATTCCCTTTGCTGTTGTGCTGGGGCAAACACTTCAAGTGTTTCTGACTCTGTTTCTCCAGAATTTTCTCCCAACAGTAAATAATGAACACATACCACTATAGATAGATAGATAGATAATAAATAGATAGATAGATATCTTGCTATAAAATATAAGAATTAAATTCAGTTATGTTATTTTTGAGCCCTTTTTCCTCAATTTGATTTGGCTTAGTTGGTTTTTTTTGATTACCTTTTTTTCTGCCAATTATGATTTTGTCCCCATATTGTCAAACACATTATTTATATACATTTTCATATTAATTTTGCATTGTTTTATTGATAACAAATATAATACATTTTAGTTTTATCTTTTAAGTCTAAACGATTAAAAATGTAAGAGTGCATGACAGTATGGTAATTACATGAGTATCGTTCAGCGCAGGGTCTAGTTCCATGCTGGGACCATTACTCCTTTGTCCATGAATTCTTTGTCAAGAACCCTGCAAACTCCAGGGTAAATGTTCCCAGCATTTGAAAATCCATCATTTTCTCAAAACCGTGCCCACTTAGTCCCTGTTCACATAAACTAAATTTCTCTTGAGATGTTTTTTCCTTTATATTGTAATCATAAAGTTTCTGTAGCATTTGTTGAACTTGGAAAAGGGACTGTTTGATTGATGACATCACCAATATTTTTCCACTTCTGTTTTATTGAGTCAATTCCATCGGCTTCTCCGTAGGTACCTGGCTCACTCCTCTGGTCCATCACATGTCAGAGGCACAACTGTCATCCAGGGGCTTCATTTTCCTGGTGTTTTCATAGTTTCTACTGATTTTTATTTATTTATTTATTTATTTATTTTTGTTTGTTTATTGAGGGAGCACTAAATAATTTCTTCCAAAGTATTACATCAAAGAAAAATTGTCTTGAAATATCTCACTGACTGATGGCATGGCTTGGAATAGACTACAAGGTCTGCAATTTTAGAACATTTGATAGACAGCACAGGTGACAATATTAACATACAGATCTCTCAGTGTATTAGTCTGTTCTCACGCTGCTAATAAAGAAATACCTGAGACTGGGTAATTTATAATGGAAAGAGGTTTAATTGACTCACAGTTCCAGAGGACTGGAGAGGCCTCTGGAAACTTACAGTCATGGTAGAAGTGGAAGCAAACATGTCCTTCTTCACATGGCAGCAGCAAGGAGACGTGCAGATTGAAGAGGGGGAGGCCCCTTATAAAACCATCAAATCTCATGAGAACTCACTCACTACCACCAGAACAGCATGGAAATAACTGCACCCTGATTCAATTACCTTCCACTGAGTCCCTCCCATAACATGTGGGGATTATAGGAACTACAATTCCAGATGAGATTTGGGTGGGGACACAGCCAAACCATATTATTCAGTATAGTTTTAAAATTAAAATAATCAAAAATCAACTTCCATTTGGGGGCAAAGCTCTCCCCCAAAATATCTGGGTTTTATGGAGGTGGGAGGTGTTATCTTCATGCTTACAAGCATGACATCTCACCAACAAAGCAGCACCCTGCAGGTGACTTCTCTCTGGCTCTGCCCCACAATGTGTTGTCTACACCTGAGGCCTCCACCCCCTTGAAACCAGGTGAGTTTCCTCTATCAGCCCCTGAGACCACACCAGAGCCTGCCCTCTTCTCAAGAACACAGAAGGGCTGCCACTCATGAACTGAAGCCTTCAGCCACCCAAGGCTTGCTGGGATCACTGAAGCTTTAAAAGCTTTGGAACCTGCTATAGTTTGGATGTTTGTCCCCTAAACCTCATGTTGAAATTGTGTCCCCAAGGTTGAAGTTGGGGCCTAGTGGGAGATGTTCAGGTTATGGGGGTGGATCCCTCTTGAATGGCTTGGTGCCATCCTGGCCGTGATGAGAGAGTTCTTGCTCTATTGGTTCCCCTGAGAGCTCATTGATTAAAAAGAGCCTGGTGCCTTCCCCACCATCTCAGCTCCTCTCTGGCCACATGATCTCTGTACATGCAGCTCCCCTCTTCCTTCCACCATGGTTGGAAGCTTCCTGAGGCCCTCACCAGAAGCAGATGCTGGCGCCATGCTTCCTGTACAGCCTGCAGAACTGTGAGCCAAATAAACCTCTTTTCTTTATAAATTACCCAGCCTCAGGTATTCCTTTAAAGCAATACAAAACAAAATTACACTCATTTCCCACTAATGCCTGGAGAATTCTGCCCTCATAGCTACTTTGTACGGTGCCAAGTGGGTCTCAAAGCACCACTGTTCTGCATTTACAGGGCTCTCTAGGACCTTTAATGAAGCCATCCTTTCATGTTGTGAAGACAGCCTGTCTCTATGTAGGATCCAGTATTTGTCAAGAGCTGGGTTTGAGGATGAATCTGAGGGAAGACACAATGCGCACAAATCCAGTGCCCATTCTCTCAGAAGACTGGCTCATGATCTTCAAACCATTCTACATTGCAATCTCTTTCTCATGCTTTCTGAAGAGTGTTTTCCTAGAAGAGCCTTCCATTCTTTATGCAGATAAATTCCTGGAGACACATCCATATAGGTCTACGTGTTACAGAGACCCCACAAACAATGAGGTGTTATGCATGCCTGCAGAGTGAAAAGGTTGGAGTTAATATATATAGGGTGATATTTTATTTAAAGGACTGAATAGAAAATATTGAATATTGATTGTTTCCTTTAAGACAAAACTTTAAAACTTGAGTCATGATTAAATTTGAAATAATGTATCTATTTCAAAGAAAAATATATTTAGGAAATTTAATGTTATTAAGTAAATATATTATTATTCAGTCAGAACTAACACATTAGTAACAGATGAGAAATGCACATTGAGATTAAAAATTATTTACACATTTAAAAACGTAGATCCCAGAGAAGGTAGGAGATAATCAGCACACCTTTTTTTTTATGCTTTTTCTTCAACGGGTACTTCCCAGCAGTGGGTCAATTTCAAGAAATTCAAAAAGTATAGTGGCAAACTTCCAAAACACAAAATAATATTTCAAATAAGCAACACAGTAATCTAATTATTATAAAGACTTATCACACTCTCAATTATTATTTGAAGGTTAGTCCAAACACTTTTTTATCACCTGAGGTCAGGAGGTCAAGACCAGCCTGGTCAACATGGCAAAACCCCATCTCTACTAAAAATACAAAAATTAACCTGGCATGGTGGCATGCACCTGTAATCCCAGCTACTCAGGAGGCTGAGGCAGGAGAATCACTTGAACATGGGAGACGGAGGTTACAGTGAGCCGAGAGTTGCTCCAGCCTGGACAATAGAGCGAGATTCCGTCTCAAAAAAAAAATTATGTTTACCAAATGCCTACCACTAATTCAAATTCTATGAGTGCAAAGCATAAAGAAATGTGAGATTCCCCTGCCTTCGGGGAGCATCTACTTATAATGAGATAGTGTAGTTACTCTTCATGCTTGAAAGACCATGCATTTGCTGTAATCAAGATCCTAATCAACTCCGCAAAGGGCACTCACTAGCTCCTTGCTCCTAGCAGTAAATTCGGTGGTCAGCTTGTTTCTGAGTTCCGTTCTTCTGATCCTATTAATGGAGACATCACAAAGGTGAAAATCTGCTTAGAAGCCGATTTAGCCTCCACTGATTCACCTCTGAAAATGTGGAGATGCTTTTTACTGTAAACATTAAGATTATCCACTGACCTTAATTGACAAATTACTCCAAATAGTGAGTGATCAATAATGACTGTACGATAACATACGATGTACTAAAACGTGTCACTTAAACTTTCAGAATTATAAAACAGGACTATCCTGTCATTTTCAAACAAATATTTTCTGAGTCCCTGACAGGTATTAGGCTGTCAGGGACAGCCTGAAAGAAAATAAGAAGTGTGTTTTAATCTTCATATGGTTACAATCTAGTCAAAATTGAGATGCCTGTATAATTACTAGAAAAGACAGTAGAGGAGAATTAGCTGGTTACTGTAGGATGTGACAAACTCAGAAATTCTTATTTTCATTGGACTACATCATACCATGGTATTATTTTAGTTTTTCATAATGAGATAGAAATTGCAAGAAACCAAATTACAGAGGTTGAAGAGTTTCTTGCACTTGCAGATCCAATGCCAATGGAAATCCAGATATTTGTAACTAACCTTCCAGTGGGAAGGTGGTGACATGTCATAGCCACAGCTTACCCCCTGCCACGTGTAGCATCAGCCCCACACAGCCCAAGGCTGCACACTCAGATGTCAACTTCCCATTCCCAAGCTTCAGCTGGGAGGGGCAGAATGAGCTGAACTTATAAATAAACATGGATTTATGTAGAATTCCTGGAAGTAAAGAAAAAAAATACTCACCTACAAGGAATAACATTCTGTTGTCCATTCTAACCCCATTTCTTTCTTTTTTTTTTTTTTTTTTTTTTTTTTGAGATGGAGTCTCGCTCTGTCGCCCAGGCTGGAGTGCAGTGGCGCGATCTCAGCTCAGTGCAAGCTCCGCCTCCCAGGTTCACGCCATTCTCCTACCTCAGCCTCCCGAATAGCTGGGACTACAGGCGCCCACCACCACGCTGGGTTAATTTTTTTGTATTTTTAGTAGAGACGGGGTTTCATTCTGTTAGCCAGGATGGTCTCGATCTCCTGACCTCGTGATCAACCCGCCTTGGCCTCACAAAGTCCTGGGATTACAGGCGTGAGCCACCAAGCCCGGCCAAAAACCCGTTTCTAGAGACACTTCAGGGAGACTCCCTGTTCTCTACAGCAGCAATTGTTGCTAAACTAAACCAATAGCTACACATACTTAAAAGGTAGAGCAGTTAAACCCATCCATGTATTTTAGTATTAAAGCAATAAACAAGGCTCCTTTGACCAGCAAAAAACTTAAGACACACTGACAAACGAAGTGAAGAATAAAAGCAGTCAGGAGTGAAGAAGTTGTGGCGAACAAAAAAGGTATTCCCCTGTGTGAGCATTCAACACATTTAAATCAAGTTCTAAGGTGAAAAAGGGCAAAATTATACCCATAGAAAGAAAACCATGTTACAGAACTTGACGAATTAAAAATAGTATATTTCTGACTTTTGAAGTTCTGTTACATGTCTACAGCCACGGCCCATGCCGCTACTCAGGAGTATGTCCCTAGTCAGCAACTTGTGTTTTAAAATCAATTTTGCCTGCTTTTCCTCAGCAGCTCCTCCTACTAGACCAATAGAAACAGGAATACGATGAGGAGAACCACAGTAATTGTTGGAACCTGTTTGGTTAAGGACCTCGGCTCTGTGAGCTCACAGCAGGTCGTGAGCCATGTCTGCCAGCTCCACACTCTTATTTGATTGTTGCCTGTGTTTTGAAATTTGGAGATGAATGGCATTGAACCCTCAGTGCTCCATTCTTTGATTCTATTGGTTCTAAAATTTATGTCACGTTCATTCCCTTAGGGATTGGTTGGGATGAAGAGAAGGGAAGAGAATTCTGTGATTCAATTTCTCTGTTTCCTTGCACTTCAAAGTAGAATATATAGCGTATAATTTTAAAAATCAATAAATGATATAAAAAATTACCTGTATGCCTTAAATTCACTAAAGGAAAGAAAAGCAAACACAATCTGTCTCATTAGCAGCAAATGGAAAACAATACAAACAGCAAGAAAACACCAAAAAACCTTAAATGATATAAATGCTTCCAACAGAAGAAAAATTAGAGATTAACTCAACAAACAAAACCAAACTCTATGCTATCTCAATATGGCACATTGAAAGCAAGGACAAAGTTGACAAATTAGACTAATGTGATGAACACTAACTGTATTATGTGAATGAAGTAAAAAAAAAGATGAAAGAACAAAAGAAGGAAAAATATTTCTTTCCACTTAATCATGAACAAACAAAATTGGAAACAAAAGGATTAAGCAGAAAAAAGAGAGTCGTGCGGCAGCATGCGCTATATAACCCACAGATAAAGAAAGGACATGAGTGAATTTTCCACACTGATACCTTGGGTGGCACGGATACAAAATATGCAAGATAAAAGAGGAGCAATTGACAGAAAAAGGAATCAGAAAAAAATAGTTTTGCTAGATTAAAAAAAAAAAAGAACTTTCAGCAAGGGAAGGATTTAAGCATTCAAAGGAAAACAAGCACTCCAAACAAAAACAAGAATAGAATATCAAAACACAACAATGAGTTTGGAATACTAGTTATCAGAGCAAACCCAACACAAAGTGAACTCACCTGTCATGATAGGGTTTGTGAACTATTTACTAAAATAAATTCTCATAAAACCAGAAAGGAAAAATAACATTGCTCCTGGAATGGCCCAGACAACAAAAGAAATTAACCAAAGAAATTAACAAAAGACAATTGTAAGTAAAACAACAAGAAAACACTTATGTCAGCCCCTTTTTGTTATGGTCCCCTCGTCTCTAAAATGGAATAACCTTGAAGGAACCTTAAACCGAATTCCTCACCTTTCTCTGAGCTGAAGATGAGGAATCCCTGGACTGTGTCCTGAGCACAGACACGTGGCTCCTCCCAGACAAAGTTTTGCTGTAGTCTACCTGATCTGGCTCTAGTCTAGCTATTTTAGAGACTGGAGAAAATCTGATACAAACTAATGAAAAGACGTTAATGCTGGCAGATGGCTCCAGAGTACTCGGAGCTGTTCTAATACCTGTTTTACAGAAGTAATCTGCTCTGCCGTTATCCTCAGCCATTGTGAGCTGATAATGAGCCGGGAGAGCAGAACAAGGCCTGCGCAGGGCTGCCACTTCTGATTTCATTAGTCTTTCACTGCAGGCAAAATGAAGGCACTAAGTGGTAAGTTAATTGTTTCTTTGCTGCTGTACCTCCCTTGGGTGCATTATGTCATTGTTAACACTGATATATTAAGATAGGCACTTTATGGTGGTTGCCAGCAACACAACACTAATGCATTTTTATTTCTCCCAACTGCAAAAATAAGTTCAGCTCATTTCCCTGAGCTTCATATTGTGTTGAGGACTCTTCTTCACTGAAAATAGTAACCCTTCCATCTGAGAGAAAGGATTGCTTATATCATAATTTCTATAAGATCTCACTGAAAACTGCGTAGACTTAGGGTTTACTTGTGTTATTAGAATAAAAGGAACTCTGGCTTATAGGAGGGTGGCATGAGGAGCCTGTGGACCTGTTTCCAGCGAAACAATTATCACTAGTGAAAATTATTTTAAAAATAGTAAAAATAAAGTTTTTTGAATTGTAGTAAATGAGGAAGCATTTATTCGAGAAAATATACGAAGACTCAGTAAGAACAGCAGGAGTCTATTCTACTTGGGCCATGATTGCTCCCCAGCCGTCCCTCCCTCACTCAGCTGGGCAGTGCTTCACTCGCAGTGGCTGGGACCAATGAGATAAGGATCTTCTTTTGCTCAGATCCCAGTTAAGGGCTACAGTATCCCACCAAAAAGGGCATGCCACCAGCATGTCTCACCTACTCAACCCCTGAGTTTCAGAGTCTAAATTACTGGTGCTCATGGCTGAGAGGCTGGCAGTTCCCTTCCTCTACCTAGCCCCCAGTAGAGGGTGGAGGCTGTACTCCAGGCACAGCAGGCAAAAATCTGGGGTCCTGATAGCCCTTGATCCAGCACTTGCAGGAAAGATTTTCTATGCCAGGAAAACAAGGGAAGAGAGCCAGAATCCACTCCCCTCCACGGAACCAGAGTCTGCTCCCCGTCTCCCACAAAAGTGGCTCAGAAGAGGGGAGGCAATCCATAAGAACAGGAAGCACTAGTGTTCTCCCTACAGCAACTGACTTGATTTGAAAAAATCTGGGGAAGTTCCAGCCTAAGGGTAGTCTTAAAAACAAAGAATATTTTGGTGTAAAACAATTAAGTGGATAACTACAGCAAATAAAAGCAATAAAGTATGCATATGATGCCTAGTTTATCAGAGATAACTAATATAACTATTAAGAACTAGTAAAAAAAAAATACTGTCCTCAAAACTACCTTTGCCTGACAGTAACATCAACAGTGTAGTAGATGTGAAGTCCCAGCTCTTATTCCCCTTTGAAAACATCAAAATACAGCAACAAGAGAATGACCAAACTAATACACAGGAGCTCTGGAAAGCAGCCTAGGGTTTAGAGCAGCCAGGTGAATCCTAATCAAGAAAAAGCCATCATCAAAATTCTAGGAAGAATGTCGGAGCATTTTACTTATTCTTGCCTCACCCTCTACCTGGTGCAGAGTCATCTTGGTCTATGGGATGTGGAAAAATAGTCTTATTTCCCACAGTCTAAGCTGTCTAGGGGCTACCTGAAGAATGGATCTTGGTATAGCCTAACTCAAATCCTAGTTAGGAAAAGTAGTGAGTGCTACTGTGGAAGCTGCCATGAGATTAACATTTCTGGGGCAAGAGATAACTGCTGGATATAAACAGCAGAACACTCAAGGCTTAAGGAAACACTGGGTGAAACTCTTTAACGAAAAAAAAGACATTCAAAAGCAGCCACATGTACGGGAGAATTGAGAAAGCCACACACACAGGCCAAGGAAAGATACATGTTCCAAAAAAGTCCTGAAAAGACTTCAAGCTTTTTCCTTCAGCAGATCCCCAGGATCAGAGCAAATCCAGCTAATTGGAGAAGTGCCGGCCAATGACAAAGTTAGTGTGCAAAATGTAGAAAGGGCTTTTGTTTTTCACGTGCCCATTCTCCAACAACAATAACAACCACTAAATTCCAAAGCGTAGAGAAAAAACAGGAAAAACAATCAGCTTTCAGAGAAAAAAAGTAAGTTGACAGAAATCATCCCTCAGGAAACTCAAATATCAGTCTTACTCAAAAAGTACTTAAAATAAAACTCTTAAATATAACCAAAGAGCTAAAGAAAAATACAGACAAAAAAAAATCAAAGATATCAGAAAGACAATAAATAGACACAATGAGGATATCAAATAAGAGACATAAATTATTTTTTAAAGGTATGAAACAAAAATACTGGAGCTACAAAATGGAATAATTGCAATGAAATATTTATTAGAAGGGATCCATAGCAGATTTGAACAGGCAGAATAAAGAGCCAACACACTTGAAGGTAGGCCACTTACAACTAGCAAGTCAGAGAAGCAAAAACAAAAAAGAATGAAGAGAAAGAAATGAAGCCTAAGGGACTTTTGGGGCATGACCAAGTGGTTCAATATACACATTATGGGGCTCCTGCAAGGAGGACAGAGAGATTATTTGAAAAAGTAATGTTAGAAAACTTCCCAAATCTGATGAAAAGCATTAATCTATACATCCAAGAAGATCAGTGAACTCCAAGTATAATAAATGAAAGAAATCACAACCAGCCACAATATTTAAAAACTGCTGAAAGGCAAAGACAAAGAGAAAAATTTGAAAGCAGCAAGAAAATAAAACAACAAGAAACCTCCAAGGAGATTAGGAATTGTCTTCTCATTAGAAACAATGAAGGCCAGAAGGCAGTAGGATGACGCATTCACTGTGGTGGAAACAAAAAACAAAAACAATCAAATAAACAAAAAACTAGAATCTATATCCAGCAAAACTACCATTTAAAAAATAAGGTAAAATAAATGCATTCCAAGATAAGCAAAAACTGAAAGAATTTGTTGCTCGTTGACCATTCTTACAATAAATATTTTAAAATTTTTTAGGTTAAAAATAAGTGATTCAAAATAGGCATTTGAATTCACATTTAAAATAAAACTAAGAGAACTGGTATAAGTAGCTATGTAATTTCAAAGACTGTATAAGCACATTTTGTCTCTTAACTGATAGAAAATCAGTTATATAAAACAATATGCATATAATTGTATTGCTGAGCCTATCACAAAGAGAAATGCAATGTATTTGACACTAACAGCATAAAGATAGTGTGTGGGAGCACAGATGTCTTCTAATAGAAGGAAATGACACCAGATGATATCCATAGTCCACTAAAACAAATGCCAAGAACCAGAAAGAGAAAATAAGAAGGTTAATGTAATAAATTCTATTAATATATATTTGCTCACCTTCATTTTCACAGTATTTTTAGTAGAGACAGGGTTTCACCATGTTGGCCAGGCTGGTCTCAAACTCCTGAACTCTGGTGATCTGCCCGCCTCAGCCTTCCAAAGTGCTAGAATTACAGGCATGAGCCACAGTGCCTGACTTATATTGGGTAATATTCTAAATAATAATGAAGAAGACAATGCATTCTCATAAACATTTAGGATCTGAACTGTCCAGTAGAGTAGCCAGTAGCTACCTGTGGATGTTTAAATTTAAATTTTATTGAATTGATATTGGATAAAAGGTGAAAATGTGTCTCCTCAGTTGTGCTCGCTGCATTTCAATTGTGCATTAACCACATGCAGCTATGGGAGGCTGTTCTGAAGGTCACAGGTACAGAACGTTCCCATGGGTGCAGAAGTTTCCATAGGAGAGTGTTGTTCTGGGGCTTTTGGTTCATTTTTAAAATGGAAAAGATTACATCATATTCAGTTTACATTAGCACTTAAAACCAATGCCAAGGAACTGTGGCATCCGAGAAGTTTTCAAAGCATACTTCATAGTTTATAGAACTAAATTAGAGTTAGAATATATTTATATACATCGGCAACTGTCTACTGGGGTGCTGGTGCTGGGTATCTCAGTCTGTCCGGGTTGCCATAACAAAACACCATGGACTGGGTGGCTTAAACAACAGACATTTATAGCTTATGGTTCTGGAGGCTGGAAGTCCAAGATCAAGATGCCTGCAGATTTGGCGTAAGGTGAGGGTTCACTTCCTGGTTCACAGATGGAAGTTCTCACTTCACCCTTACGTGGGGAAAGAGGTGAGGCAACTCTCTGGAGCCCCTTTTATTACAGTATTAATCTTATTCATGAAAGCTCCACCCTCAGGACCTTCTCACCTCTCAAAGGCCCCACCTTGGAAAACCACTACTTTGGGGTTAGGATGTCAACATAGAAATTTAGAGGGACACACACATTTCAGACCATAGCATATGGCAACAGGAATAGAACTACATCAGTGCAGCACAGATCTCTGTGCTTGGCCTTTTGCCTGTTGAATAATTCAAAAATATCTTCATGGCAGGGGAAACACAAATGCTGACCTCAAGGAGAAGCTGAAGCCAAGAGTATTAATCACAGTGGTGAAGATAAGAAAGATGACCCCAAGTAAGAAAGCCCAGAAAGGCACTTGCTGTTGACTCCCTCAGAAAGAACACCACGAAAGACCATGGATCATGTAAAGTAAGAATGAGACTTACTGCTATAAGGGAAACGAACGTCTTAACAGAGTCTTAGTAGTATCTCGAAAAGGGAAAATAATACCAAGATATTTATAGGTATTTAAGGCCTAGGCTGGATGATTTAAAAGTAGATTATCCAAGGTCAAGAACTGGTTCAGGTTTCAGAGAGTTTATGACAATAACTCTGGGTTGGTGAGCAGAACAAAGCAGGGACTGTGGGTGAGTGGTGATGAGGAAGATGTCAGTTCTGGTAACTAAGGTGCTGATGCTATTTTAGTTGCTTCTCAGCCTTGTCTTCTAGAAGTAGTACTTCCTGGAAGCCATAACCCAGGTATATTTGCCTCATCACCGAAGTGTTTAGCCCAAAGTCCGGGAGAATCCTTCATCCCAGAGTTGTTTATTACAAGAGCATGAATGTATGGTTAGACTGGAACTGCTTAACACAAGGACTGTAAGTTATATTGGTTTAGGTTCTCTAAGTTAGGTCCCACTGTTAGAGACAGATATTGGCAGCTGTTCTTGATCTACAATGTAGTCCAGAGAGGCCACTGCAGTAAATCCCAGGTAGGAGACAGAAATATAGAGGGAGATAGAAAGAAAGATCAAGACAGAGGTATGGCAATTGACACCATCACAATGCAGCTAGTGCTAATAAAAATTCATAAAACAAGTAGTCATTAAACGACCAAGCACATGCTTTGGAAGCTGCCTAGTCAAGTGAATAATACATCTGCAGTCCACATGTGAGGAACCGCAAGTGAGCATCCCTCTAGGGCCACCTGGAGGCCACCACTGCTGGTGGGGCAGGGGTGGCTATGGGACACCTGGACAGCCCTGTTCTTCATGCAACAAGGTGGACTGCAGGTCTTGTACAGAAAGCATCTGCAGAGATCACCCAGACATTCCACCGAGCTATGGCAATCTCAAGCCTAAGTGTGTGCAGAGCCCAGACCTCCCCATGATCCATTCTCAAAGAAGCTGTGTGAGCCCAGAGCCCACAAAGGTAAGATCCATAAGGAGAAAGATCAGCATAATCAGACAGAGGATTGCAAAACAAGTCTGAAATTTCTGGAGTTCCATTTTATGCCAGAAAATAGAACTGTGCCAGAGTTAATGGGATCTCTCTTTCACAAATCAAATATTTTCTCAAAAATTGGTATTCAAAATTTCTTGCAAAAAACTCTAATAATAAAAGTATAAAAGGCAAACTATAAATAATGAATGACATTCCTTAGTAAAACATATATATATATATATACACACACACATACATGAATATATATGTGAACAAAGAGAAAGAGACAAATTTAGGGGGATTCATTAATATAGAATCAATCTGTCATCTTTTGGGATCTGATGGCAAAAATAAATGGGTTGCAATGCAGAAAATATTAAAATAAGAGTCAAAGTACTGAGTGAAAGTAACATACTCCTGGCAGTTTTCATGTAACTTTACATAAGCAACTTCATCTCTATCCCTTAATTCTTCACCTAGATATGGGAGTGTGGGATTCACACTCAATTTATGAGTGTGAATATAAATTATAATTATAAATTCCATTCACTCAATTTATGGCTAGACCCAAAATATTAATAAATGTAAGAGTTCTATCCATAACCAAAAGAACAATGATGCCAGTTAAACAAATGAGAAACACAAAATACATTGTTTGGGGGGAAAATAAAAGAGGTAAAAGCCATGATGATCACATGTTTGGTTCACAGAGCTCAAAAGATATATAGCTTGTGATGGACGTTTGGGTAGGTAGAAGTTCTAGTGCTAAGGAGATGTCATTTCTTGAAATATAGTTATGCCTAGAAACAATGTTAGAGGTTCTGAGAGTATAGAGGTATTATAAGGAAAGAAGTATGAATCAGTGATTGATTGAATAATCCTGGCCAGTCTGCTCACTCTAACCAAGCAGATACAAGTATGCCCTCCAAGCAGAGATGAAAATAGGTTTTTTAATAATTTTGTCTAAGTGATTCTAACATGTTTTTTTCATTGCCCCCTTCACCTCATTGCAAATTGCTAGTAAGAAGAAGAAAGAAAGTAAGGAAGAAACACCATACCTTGTTGAGAGCTGTAAATGGTATGATATTTTACTCCATGTGGAGCTAACAAACTAGCCTGTCACAACTTCAAGGATGCTGTCGGAAGACACAAGATTCCTGGGTCAGAGCCAAAGGACCGTATCAACGATGGCAGTGCCTGGGCATCCCACATGTGTGTTTATTCTCCTTGCCCAGAAAAATGGTGTGGAACGCCCTCGATGAAACGTGTACACAGTGGGTTGCATGACAGGAGAAAATCTCAGAGACTTAGGAACCCAAATATGTTATTGTGAGCAGTGAGCATTGCTGCCCTTGGCTCCCCGGGAAGACAACATCTGTATCTTCCAACAGTGTTAACTGCACAGACATCCTTGAAAAGATAGTCCAGAACAAAGGGTGGTTAGTGCCTTGCTGGCAAAATGTGATAAAAATATGACACTCTTTGAAATTATCGTCCAATGTGTCTTTCCCATATGAAATAGACAACACTTTAAACACAACTTTAATTAAATTTTTATACATTCCAATTTGGGAAGCAGTGATAATTTAAATTATGACAAAATTCACTGGATGGCAGTGTCAGGGAGAGAATGGGGAGGCCATGCTGAGAAAATGTTTATACGTGCAAAGGAAGAGAATTGCGTAGGACCTCATAAACAGCTTTTGACTTTGCCAGTGACAAACTCAAGTGTGCTACGGAAGAGTCAGCTCCTGCAACCTGGAGCGGAGGCAAGGGGTCCGTCCTCAGTAAGTGTGGTGGGTCAAATGGTGCCCCCAAAAACCTCAGAATGTGACTGTGCTTGAAATAAGAGTCTTTGCAGAGACAAAGAAGGAGACACAGAGAGACAAAGAGACGAAGAGAGGAGGGTGATGTGAAGATGGACGCAGAGATCAAATCCATGAAGCTAAGGAATTCCAGGAAGCGGAGAGAGCTGGGACAGAGATATGGAACAGACCCTCTCTCTGAGCTTCCAGAAGGTGTGATTTTGGACTTCTCATCCGCAGCTCTGGGAGAGAATAAATTTCTGTTGTTTTAAGCCACCTAAGCCACCCAGGTAGTGGTAATTTGCTATTGGTTGAGTGCATGTGTGTGTGTGTGTGTGTGTGGTGTATGTGTGTGTGTGGTGTATGTGTGTGTGCACGCTTGGGAATGGTGGCATAATTGTGGAGCATGTGGACTGAACTACTGAACTGTGATGGGATTGCAGCTACAGGACAAGGAGGTGCAATCACATATCGTTGTCCTGACTAATGGAGGCGACGGCTGGGTGTTCCACCTGCCCCTTCTTACAATAACTGTTTGGTGTCACTCTGTTTCAGGGTAATACTGTCTATAGCAGCTATTCATTCTAAGAGCTGAGTGGTGCCAAAAGTAATTAGCAATGCATTTGTCAAAAACAGTGTCTCAATTCAGGTGCTAGAATTTGGCAGAGGCTCTAGGATGATGTTTTATAACAATGTTTGTCATGAGTCAGGAAACACATCGACAATGTTTCCGTTTAAAATTGTTTTTAGTTTTTTAAAAAACTGTCTTTTTAAGAAATATAGTAAAGGATAATCTTATAATTTTTCTCTTCAATGTTGTATAAGCCCCCTGATGAAATAAGCAGAGATTATAGTCCAGAATGATATTTAATTAATGTGTCCCGATACAATATTTTATAATCAAACGGGGAAGAGACATTCTATTTAAACTTTAATTGTTACCAATCATCACGGGGTATGCTAAATAATATTTTCTGGTTATTTCAGTTTTCATTGGAATTTCAATTTCCACGGGCATAAAATGGAAGTTTTGGGTGACTGCTAAGATCATAGGATCATGGTCCCCGAAAGCACCAATGAGCAGCCACTCTTCAGAGGAGTGTGGGGAAAGCTCCTCAGTGAATCCAGTAATTACAAATTTGAGGTCTGCACCGGTAACTACAGTCACTCCCTCCCCTTATCCACAGGAATATGTTCCAGGACCACTAGGGGACGCCTGAAACCCCAGATTGCCATCAATTGAAATACATTGCTGTTCATGTCTTCCACCCACAAATGTAATGCCCTTTCTATATTAACTAAGCATTTATCACACACTGTGCCTGTACATTGTGCATTTTGAGGTGTAACAACAAAACTGGCTTGAATTTCTTTTTCCTTCTACACAATTTCATGGACAGAAGATTCGTTCTTACAGGAAATCCTAGCAACCTCAGTATATACATATATATATCTTTTCTTTCCTCAAGTTAAGAACTTCTGCATTTTCACTTAAAGGAAGCATTTAATAACTCCTCTTTGGCATCTCCAAATTGTCAGCCTCACTACTCTTGCACATGGGGCCACTATTAAGTAAAAGAAGGGTCACTTGAACACCAGCTGCGATATCAGCACAGTCAATCTAATCATCATGGCAGCTGCTAAGTGATTAATGGGCGGGGAGTGTCTGCAGTATGATATGCTGCAAAAAGCAATGATTCACGTTCTGGGTGGGACAGAGCAGGATGGGAGCAGATTATATCACACTACTCAGAATGGAGCTCAATTTAAAACTTATGCATTGCTTGTTTCTGAAATTTTTCGTTTAATATTCTTGGATTCCAGTTGATTGCAGGCAACTAAAACCACAGAAAGCAAAACCGTGGATATGTAGGACAGCTCTCTTCTAAGGCCCACCATTGGCTCAGCATTAAAGAGCAGTAGGGGAGCCATGGTCTCAGCAGTGGCTGGACCGTTGTCCCTGAGACCTGTTCTCAACAATACTTCCTTGTTATTTCCAGAAGCTTAATGTACCCAAATTGCTTACCACTGTTTGGAAGTTAATTTGCAAATATCTTTCAAAATCTAAAACACATTTTCTTTGACACGTCAATTCCATTGCTAATAATTTAACTTTATCGATATGTTTAAGAAAGACCAGGGCCGGGGTGTGGTAGCTCATGCCTGTAATCCCAGCATTTTGGGAAGTCGAGGCAGGTGGATCACCTGAGGTCAGGAGTTTGAGGCCAGCCTGGCCAACATGGTGAAACCCCATCTCTACTAAAAATACAAAAATTAGCTGGGCATGGAGGCTCATGCCTATAATCCGAGCTACTCAGGAGGCTGAGGCAGGAGAATCCCTTGAACCCGAGAAGTGGAGGTTGCAGTGAGCTGAGAGGTTGCAGTGAGCGCCACTGCACTCCAGCTTGGGTGACAGAGTGAGACTCTGTCAAAAAAAAAAAAAAAGAAGGAAGGAAGGAAGGAAGGAAGGCCAAAACAACAACAACAACAAAAGCTCCTTAAATATCAACCCCTGACCACCCCTTCCTCTTGAACTAAAAGTGAATAATGAAATCCTGCTGTGTTCCTTTGGTATTCGGCAGGCCACACAAAGGGCTGGGGGGCCTCTGCAGAGCTGGCTGGTATCTGCACATTCTGTTAAACCTCATTCTCTGATTGAAACTCTATTTACTTTTAGGTTTGTAAAATAATTTCAGGGTAAGCCCATCTTGTGGTGTCTGGAACTAATTTATGTATTCCCTCATTTGACAGCCATGTAATACTCTTCTGTCCTGAGTCAAAAGGGTCACAATTGTATATATTTTTGGGTACTCAACTTCTACCCTGAGGAAAACAAAAAGTGTGGAGGCATTGCGAAATAAACCACCCCTGTGTACTAGGATGTGTTTCACCAGCCACTCAGTAGCTGCGGGCCCAAGACAGTCAGGGTGATGAATAAAACTTCATCCTCAGGCACTGAGTGGATTACACCACAGAGAGATCTAGGAATTAATTAACGGCACTGTCAGGAAGGACCAGTCTTTGTCTCTTGGTATCCTAAAATGTTCCTTTATTAATATCCAAGCAATCATAGTATGGTTGAATTCCAAGAAGAAATTCCAAGTTTCACAGGCACTAGCAAAATAAAGGTTCAAAATTGCACACACACGCACAAACACCCCCACACACTCATCATACAGTCACACACACACAAATGCACATAGATACACATACACCCCCAAACACACACACTCACACGTACTCAGAGAGAGAGAGGAGAGAAAATCCCAGAATTTTGGGTAACAGAAAAAACCTTCTAAAATACCTACATAAATAGGCAATTAATATAAAACCCATTAAAATATATTATGATTAAAACTGATTAAAATAAATATGTATTTCATAAATTATGAAATTATGAATTTCAATACAATGAAATGCAATCAACCTTCAAACAGGATGAGATGGTTCTCTAGGTACTGATAGGAAATGTTCTAATGTTTCGTTAGAATATGTACAAAGGTACATATGCCATTTGATTCTATTTGTGTTAAAACGAAAGCTATCCTGTTGACTCGTACTCAAAAATCCTTTCAGAAGGAACACTAAGAATCAAGTCAATTGCTACTTAGAGGAGAGTGAATGGAGTAAGGAATTTATGGCAAATTACATTTTACTTTTCAGTGTAAGCCTTTATTTTTTTACTTTGTGCATAGACTAAAATTATGTGTGTGTGTGTGTGTGTGTGTGTGTGTATATATTTACACATTTCCATGCAGAGAAGAAACTGCTCCTGCACTTCACACCCCCACTTTGAGATCCGTCCTGTCTAATGCCTTCCCTGTGAGTAACAACCATTTCCTTTCTTAAGGCAGTAAATAACCATATCACTCCAAAATTGTTTAATAGTGGGCTGTCTCATATTGGAAGCTGTTTGGGAGTCTGTGGTGCTTCCCAGGACTGTCATCATGCCCAAAGCGTGAACCACGCAATCTACTTCTCATTTTCACTTTACAAGCCTTCTTAGAAAGTTTAGCGCATAGTGGGTAGAAATCAGTATGTTTATTCATATGCAGTCAGAATATCTTTCGGATGAAAAATAGCAAAGGTTTCAGATGACTTTCACATCCATGGTTGTCACGTTTGTGGACCTTAAATGTCGACTCTGAAGACAGAGGGGACACACAGAGACCACCTGGAGATTTTGCCTCTTGCTCCCTAGGCTTCGAGGGGCTTTTAAACTAGTTTGGTTTGGTTTAATTCACTGAGGCTGGTTCATTATTTCATTCTTTGTATAAACGTGCTGTGAGTGGTCACTGTGCCCTGGTTTGTTCCAGGTACGGGGCATGCAAAGATGAACCAGGCTGGCTGTGAGGGTGTGCCCATGATGGCACCTGCTTCACAGCCTGTGGTCAGTGGTCCAGCCAAGTCTCATCACAGTGCATGTTTCCCAGACCAATCCTGGTAACTCCTGGGTTAGCTCAGGTCCTTTAAGAAACAGGAGTGAAACCAACGTGTAAGAAGTCTATTGGGGAATATGCCTGTAAGGGATGAACTAGGGTAACATGGGCTGTCAGGGAGCACCTTCCACCATGGGTCAAGCCTCACCACCTGAAAAGGGAGGGGCAGGAAGAAGTGGTGCAAGGTAGGAAGAGACTCAAAGACACACTCTAAGACTCCTCTGAGAGGAGGCCTTCAGCTAAATCATCCAAGAGGGATCTGGTGACTGCGGGAATGGGAGGCACAAGCACCCCATGGTGCTGAGTCATGGACTGGGGGCTGTCTGATGGAAACGGAGCCCTGATGTGAATACAGAGATAAGTCCAGAAAGGTAGAGACTGAAGTTGTCAGATAACACTCTCCCCACACCTGGGCTGTCAGGTAAACCCCTCCCCAGAGCTGGACTGTCAGGCAGCCCCTCCCTGCAGCTGGGTTCTACAAAGGATACCTGAGCCAGGCCCCCCACAGCAACCACACTAACCAAGTTCCAGCCCTGTTGTCATTTATTGTGGAAAAGACATTTTGAGGTAATTGTATGCATATGTAGAGTAAGGACAAGAAGTCATAAATGTCACTAGGGTAAATAAAGCAAGATACAAAGGGGAACCTTTGGGGTGCTGATATTTGGGACGAGAAGAGCCAGGCAGGCATCAGAAGGCAAGTGCAGGTGTCCAGGAAAAGGGTCGAGTGACCCAGAAAAGGATGGGGATCAGGAGAATGACTGGGACTGAGATTCTGGGGTGAAGGGAGAGCCAGCAGGGGTTGGATGCAGACAAGGACAGACCCCATGGGACATGTCCCTGGACATGACAGGGAGAGGGAAGCAGGGACTCCACAGCATCTGGGCTGGGCACCTGGGCGGTGGCCGCCCCATCCACTGCTGCCACGTTGACCACCTGCGGTGGGGAAGCCCAGTGGGTTCTGGACTGGGTGGGGATGAAGGTTCTCTCTGGGGCTTGTTACACTTGGGAACCAGCCGACGGGGGCCCCACAGGGCCAGCATGGTTGCTGGGGAATGGGAGGGAAACAGCTGTCTGGGGTCAGTGGCTACCTGCTGTCTTGAGAGCTCCACATAAGCATTGCTGACTTGGCTCCTGTGGGCACCGGGGCAGGGCTCTGTCTGCAGAGATGAGGGCAATCGTGTTTCCCCAGGCCCAGACCGGGTGGGGGCCAAGCTCCTCAGCCCTGCTGGGCTGCCCATCGGCCAAGCAGCATCCTCTCTCTCCCTGCGGGTCTCTCGCCTCAGGGTATCTCCCCATTTTCTTTCTATTTTCTTTAATTTTGGGGTTTCATCTTTTCCCTTCAACATTTCTCCATAGCTGTTTTTCTGTGACAGGGGTTGAGTCACCAATAATGATAGTTCTGCTCCTGTAAGAACCTTAGAGTTCTCTGAACATGGTTATTTTATCACAAGGCTTACACCCTTTCAGTTCTACCGTATGTATTGGAGAGGGAGATCGCCAAATTTGGACCTGCAGGGCGCACAGGAGGGTACCGTGTGTGTTCATTTCACAAAGGCGGGGTCTCAGTCCCTGGAGCTGCACGCGGTCAAGGCCCAGGCCCTGCCTTCCAGGGTCCCCTCCGAACTCCAGGCTGGTGCAGTGGCCGCTGCTCGAGCCGCTTTGCAGACTTCCTTTATGCCCTCCAACAGGAACAAAGCAAAAAAGTTAACTCACTTCTGCTCATAAAAGTCGCCAAATAAATGAAAATTCGATAATTTACTGCAGTGCATTCTAGACAGAAAATGGAGAATTTGAGCACGTTTTCCTGGCTCCTTTCCCTGGTCCCACCTGTATCTCTATTACAGGGACAAATGGGGCTAATCTCACTGATGCGATTCAGCACATGAACATGTGTCTGCCGAAGCAAGAACAATTTAGTCGTTGACCTGAAGCCCTGGCTGCAATGAACAAGCTTCGTTTTCCTAAGCAGAAGGTAGCGTAAGAGGCAGAGGCATTGAGACCAGCTGCACAAGAGGAGAAATCCGGCGTACGTGGAGGTGGAGGGAATTTAGCTTCTTTGAGAAACCTGGTGAGGAATAAAATGTACTTGTTTTCGTCCGAGTTAGACTTGCTGGACGGGCACATGATTATGGACACCACCCCCATTTCAGTAACGCTGTTCTGTGTCTAGCTATTAGGACTATGTGCCTAATAAATGGATAAATCACACCGTTTCCTCCTTTTAAAACAGGGAATAAAGATAGTTTGAGAGTGCAGGTCGAGACAGAGCAATGAAATGTCCAGGATGAGGCATTTTGTTTAAGAGACACGCGTGAAGCTCAGCGCTTGACGAGACAGGAAGGCAGAGCTTCACGTGCGATGGACCCTGATTGACAAGGCTTTTAAAGCATGGCTTCGCTGTGACTGACAATCATGCTGGGGAAGAGATGAACAGGTAATTGCAGTTCTGTTCTATCTTTGCATAAATACTAATGCCCTAAATAGTCCTGCCAGCTTGGAAAGAGATAGTCTGAATAAAGGCTGCCAACCAGAAACTCCACCCCGGTAGAGAGAAGGTCAGACCCCAAACTGCTATGAAGCAACAGACGCTTTCAAATTCCTTAACTACCAGTGGGATGCACATTGCATTTGGAGGCAGAAGGCCAGAGAGAATCCCAGACTCATCACTTATTTGTGCATTTCCCAAGGGGGGTAATTTCGACTTTGACTTTCAGTCTTTTCTCAGTTAAAATAGGATTGAAAACACGGAGGCTTCCTAATGCACGCAGGTTCTATAAGAAGCATGGAAAACCATGCACAGAGAAAGACTTGGACCATTGTGATGGCTGCGCTCCAGATTCCATGAATGCATTTACCACATTGTATTAAAAATTGTACATTTATTAAACTAGCTAGTTGGATGGTGATTTTCTTAAGTAAAACTTTAGCTAAGTCACTGTTGTATCCTATGGATTTAGTATAGTGCTGATAAAAGCAGGAGAGTAACAAAATATATAAATGGAATAAACTTCAATCCTTATTCTAAATGCAGTTTTGAAATCTAAGAAAGTTTCCAAAACTATAAATAGAAAATTTCTATTCACTCTTCTGTTCATTCATGGAATGTCCAACAGCAAATGGGTAAGTCCTGGGTGGAATTCTCTTTTCGACAGTGTGACAGTTCCTCTCGGTAAGAAGCACAGGAATGGTAAAGAGGGTAAAAATGACAATCCCCTTCGCAACAAAGATTACAATAACTAAAAAGTGCATGCTCCTAGGAAACGTCATTGAGGTCACCTTCATGCCAACTGCTACATTTCCTGCTCCTTCTGCAGGTTCCGCTGCGACTTCCACGGGGCCAACCCTCCTGGAAGCAGGTTCCACTGAGCTATCCATGGGGCCAACCCTGCTGGAAGCAGGTTCCACTGTGACTTCCACGGAGCCATCCCTGCTGGAAGGATTTGGGCCAGGAAGTTTTGATCTTCAGTGTCTCCACTCCTTACCATTTCTATTCTTGGAAAGTTTATTAAAATAGACCATAAAATTATCTTGGAAGATGAAAAAATAAGGTTCCCAAAGTGCTGTGCACACCTGAAATGTGAACGTTTGGGAGGGTTGTTGCCGGTGAGAGACCCACATTTGTTTCCCCTCTGGGGTGGCTGCTGCTGTGTGCTGTTGGCCAGAGAGGATTTCCCAAGACTCCCCAGGACCTAGCATGTGCAGCCCTGTTGCTCTCTTCTCCCACCTCCTACCAAGAGTCCAATGAATTGTTGTTTAAAACAAAAAGTTCTGAGTTTTATCCCCCATCGACACAATTAAATCCACAAATTGGCCTTTAGAAAACCGTCCCAGGTAATTTTTAGGCCTATGCAAATGTGAGAGCCTAATAATGAATTCCAATCATCATTTTTGACCATCGTTATTTTTCTCAGCAACTGCTTCCTGCAGGTGACCTATACACTGTCTGCCACCTGCTGACTTCAGCCCAGCACCTAGGATCCCAGCCTCCCTGCCCGAGTCCCACCATCCTGCCAAGAAGCCTGTGGATAAACAGCATCAAAACCAGAGCCTCAAATGCATGACTGGGCAAACGCATGAGTGTGGAAAAGTCCCAGTAAGGAAGTGGCCAGTTGGAGGTAGGATGCCTAGAAAAAATTCTTGGAATTTGTGAGCCAAGGCCTCAGTTTCCTCCTGTGAGCACAGCAGGATTGAGTAATTTGCAAGTTACTATTCTGGTCAAAGACACTTGCCTAGATTGCAAGTTGGCTTCTGGAGGAGTGTGCACATACTCAGCGAGCAAGCAGCCACCAAGGCCCCAGCCTCAACCATGTGAGCATGCCACATGGGGTTGAACCAGTCAGTGGGTTTCAAGAGAGTATTTCTCACATCATCTTCATGCATTATCAGAGTACATGTGTAAACACCAGAATCAGTGTCTAGTTAAAAATAAAAACACCGTTTTCCTTACCCTCCTCAGCTTCCTATGAAATCAACACTTCATGCGTATTTTTCCTTAGAGAACTTGTATTAAAATACAAAAATATGAAGTGAATATCTGTTAGAAAAAATAAGTAAAACTAGTCCCTTGTATCATTGGAATTTTGTTGTTAAATCTCAAATGCATAGTGTGGCATGCTTGCACTCTCTTTTTCTCTCTTCCTTTCTCCATCTTCCTTGTCTAAATATGAGACCCCTTTTGCCTGAAACATTTTTAGTCTAAAAATAGAACTACCAGAGGGTGTTTTTTTTTTGAGTTTGTTTTTAATGGATCAATTTATCTTGAGAAGGGGAAAAACAAAACTTAAATGCTCTTAAAACCTATACAGGTTTTCAGAACGAGATGCTTTCCTGTGGTGAATATTAAACGATAAGTGTTGAGTTTGACAGAAGAATAGTTTAAATTAGCTCTAAAAATATACTTCCTGATTTTAGGAATTTGGAGAATATTACTAAGATATTCAGTCAATGATTGATTATTTTTAAGCAGATGAACCGTTTTTCGCACTTATAGTCACAAAAACTGTGCAATCAAATGCACTTATTAAAAATACTAATGACTAGTAAAGATGACTACATATTAGAAATCATTTACTAGCTGGAGTTTTACAAAAATTAATAGATACTATTCTCCCATTTGAAATGACTCTCTTGATTGTTATGTGCATACCTATCTACTGGCAGCTAACTAGCTACATGCCTATTAGCAGCTAACTAGCTGCATAACTGTCTAACTAGCAGCTAACAAGCTGCATACCTTTCTACTAGCAGCTAACTAGCTGCATACCTATCTACTTGCAGCAAACTAGCTGCATACCTCTCTATTAGGTGCTAACTAGATGCATGCCTGTCTACTAGCAGCTAACTAGCTGTCCATTTACTGTGAAGGGGAGAAGGATCTGATCTTAGTGGGCACTCCTATTTCCTGGTAAACACATTATTTTTCCAAAAGCAAATAGAAAACTAGAGAGGTTTTTCGCTCTTTCTACTCTTGCCTTTTAAAAACTAACAACATGAGAAAAGCAGGGAACCAGAAATAGAAGAAATTTTGAATTAAAACATGGGCCTTGACTTTGAAGACTTGCGTGTCTGAAACTATGAGAGCTTAAAGTCAAATATTTAAAAGACTCTAATTAAGTACTAGATAGATTCGGCATTCCGCTTCTACTGTATCTGAGCTTCGTGTAACAAACATCAAGGGAGTGGAAGACCTAAACGGAAACCTCCGATTTCTCCCTGACGAGCTTAATGGTTCATTCAGTTGAACCTGGGCTGATGCGCTGAGAAAGAGCAGCATGAACTGGGGTGGCTGAGAGCGGACAGCAGGGGTCCCTGTTTGGACTCCCACTTCAAGTGGACTCCATCACAACCAAGGTCCTGAGAACTGGAGAAGACGAGGGTGCCAAGGTTTATTTTCTCCGATGCCACTTGCAGACACTATTAATCTCACATAGCAGTTTCCTCCAAAGCAAAGAAGTGATCTCAGAGGCCTCTCCACCAATGTCCAGGCAGCCAGCACCCATCAATCAGAGGTGCTGTGCAGAAAGATAGTTGCTGCCGTCAACAGAGAATTTCCACCAGACAACTTGGAAACGAGAGCTAGCAACCGGCAGAGTTGACGGCTATTCCATGGGCTTCACTGTAGTACTCAAAAAATGAAGATCTCAGCTCAAAAAAAATTTGTTTAGCTCAGCAATCATAAGCTATTTTAAAATATAACTTATTTTTTCTACTTTTTTTAGTTTATATGATGTTTTGTGTTATAAAATGTCAAAGTTATAAGTAGGTTCCTAACTATGATATGCATTTTACCTGCTTACATATCCTTTTATTCACTTATTTTAAATGTGTCATTTTGGTTAATGGAACGTTGAATACTGATGCAATTTCCTTAGCTATATATTTAAAGAAATGTAAATGCCAATCTCCCCTAATCTAAGATAGATATGGAGATGTAACACGTGAGGGTAGACCAAGAGATATTTTATCCTTTATATGTGAATTTCCCACCCACGTGAGTCTCTACATAGAGCAAATAAATGATCAGCGCACTGAGAAGTGGAGAAGCTCACCTAAACTTGTTTTCTAAACTTACAGCCTGAGAGACACCTGCGTCTCACAGTAGGATGACATTAAGGGCATGCATCTCTTGAATGCAGCTACTGCTGTTCTCATTGGAGCTGAATTTCACGTGGGACTATCAAGAAGTCCTCACCTTATCATGGAGCACAGAACCATGATGTCCTATTCACAACTTAGGAATACACCATTTCTAATTGCAGGGTAGAATTTTTTTTTTTTTTTTTTTTTTTGAGACAGAATCTCGCTCTGTCGCCCAGGCTGGAGTGCAGTGACGCGATCTCGGCTCACTGCAAGCTCCGCCTCCTGGGTTCACTCCATTCTCCTGCCTCAGCCTCCCTAGTAGCTGGGACTACAGGCGCCCGCCACCACGCCCGGCTAATTTTTTGTATTTTCAGTAGAGATGGGGTTTCACCATGTTAGCCAGGATGGTCTCAATCTCCTGACCTCGTGGCCGCCCGCCCCGGGCTCCAGAGTTGGGTTGTGGCTTTCAGTCTGGGTTTGGATCTTTTGTCCGCTGCATATTGGCAGCCTAACACAGCGCCCTGGCTTTCTCCTCGACGGAGTGGAGACTAATAATACGGACCTGACAATATTTTGTGAAGATGAAAGGTAAGTAAAGAGCTTAGTGTGTCTCCACACACATTCTGAGTGTTCAACACTGTTGATTTTTTGTGGTCCTAGTTACATCTGCTTGACATTAACTACTGCTGTAACTGAAAAGACAGAAAGAGTTCATAGTGAATCTCCATAAAAGAGCATACCATTTTCAGTACTTTCTCTTATACACATCCAAGAGGCTTGTATTATATGTATATATTTCAGAAATATTAAAAAAGTAAACATGACAATCCAAAAATGCAATCAGTAAACTATAGGATTACTATTTCTCATGGCATATATTCCTCATAACACTCCTGTAAACATTGAACTCCATTTTTATAATAAAAGTGTCATTTTTTAATTTATGGACTAACTATAGCTTTGCAGATGTGCATCTGGTATATAAAGTTGCTCCCTAACCTTTTGATTTAATGCTTCATTCAAAATCGACGTACTTCATACAACAGGAAAAGATTTCAGAATTATTAGCAGCTTCTGCTACTTTCTAGAAGAATCTAGCTCTGTGCAGTAGGAACATATCAGGTGATGTGCCCGTGGAGAGCACTGCTGCTATTCTCACTTGCTCTGCGTAATTCCAGCTGTGAGTATAGAGGTAAAGAAACTAAATTGAAACTCTTTAATGGCCAGGCACAACTTGCCCACATGATTTCAATATAATTTATAAAATTTGTTTGACTGTTTTTTCGGTACCAACCAGAAAACGTTATTGTCTGATAAATTCTATATACTGATGGAAAGAAAGAGGATGGAAGCCACATACTTTGCATAAGGGGCCTCAGCACGCTGCATTTCCATGAGTCTCAACTGCTCCTTTATAGAAGGCCCAAGAGATGATCACTCCTCAAGAAAAATTTTCGAAAGTCAAACAAATATAAGAACTTTTTCATTTAAATAAGAAAAATAACCTAATAATGCATTTTATTTTTTGAAAACGATCAAAATATCTTGGACAGATTTCCTGTGTGGTTAACAGAACACTCTCAGATATGCGCAGCTCAGGGATGAGTTAGAAAGGAAGATAGAAAGATATCGTTTCCCATGATAGCGTTTGGTACATATTTTAGCATAATACAAAATTGCTAATGTGAACATGTCAAATATCAATTCACGAATCTCAGATAAATGAATAAAAATGTGAGGTTTTTATTTAAAAAGCTTTAACTCTCTTGAAAAACAAAGATAATGACTTTTTAAATGTCTAATGAACACTGATCTATTATCCCAGGGGTTTACCAGGAAAACAACATTTTGTAAAAGAACACTGTTGTTTTAAATCCACATTACACCTCCTAAATCTCCTTGGATATTTTTTTCTACTGACTATAGTCTCCCATTGATGAGGTTGGGCAATCCATAAACACTCTGAATGAGCCTAAACTACAGGTTGAAAAGTGTCCTTTGTAATTTTTGTGCCTGGTTAGATCACACTCAATTTTTGCTACTTACCACTTGTAAAGGAAATCTATCAAACCCGTTGAAACATTTATAATGACATTTTAACTCCCTTCCATTGAAAATGCATTGAAAAGTATTCCGTAAGTGCAGTATTTAGAAGGAAGCTATTATTTGGAAGAGGAGGCAAATGTCTGAACCTGCTGTTTTAAAATTGCTTTCCAAATTCAAGGAAACGTTTTACAAAAGAGGTTCATAATGGAGTCTGAGCCGGGCCCCGGGGACGTGAATGCCATATTCCCTGTTGCAGCATCTATTGACCCTCAGACGCCTGATAAAACGGAAGACAGATTGCCCTGGTCCTCTGTGTGTTTAAGTATCAAGCTGATCCATAACTTTCACAAGAACCAGAAATCATTTATTGTCAGTGCTGTCCAGAATATATCCTGACAGTTCAGTGGGAGTTTCACTGCCATTTATTTTCAAATCAATACTCAATTACGAAGAGGAAGATTCACTCCCTTGCCCATTTTCAAGATGAAATTATGGACTGGAGCCATAACACTTAGTCAAGGCAAACCACCGTCTATTAACTCAAGATGGTACTGGGAACCAGCCAGATACTTTATTAAAGTTCACTCCTCTCGTTCACTCTTTTTGGCTTTTAATTAATCATTGTGAAAAAGGCCTTTCACATTGTGACTGATGACCAGAGAAAACAATTTTCTCCTAACTGCCTTTTAATTTCAACTCTGGGAGAGCACATTGACCGAATCTCACAACAACCCATCAATGCTAGTTTTTAATGTGTTTTCTCCTTTGTTATTGAGAAGAATGGAGCGCATTGAAGCCCCATGCTCCTCTTCATAAGTCAAGTAATTGATTCAGTAAATGCCGCACATTTGCTACTGGATAAAATGTGCTGTCAATGAAGATACTAGGTACTATATAAATTACTCCATTAAGCAGAAATAAAGCTATTTATGGTTTTTAGAGCAAAATGCAAGTAATACTAAAAAGACAATAGAAGAGTGAGATTACATTCATTTCCCTTTTCTGTATGCCACTCCCTGTCTTGGCTCCATCAGTTATTTGGATAGTAATTAAAATAATAAAAAAATTGAAAGTGGAATGATAACAATAAAAGCTATTCCTCATGGTAGCAAATCTGAACAACCAGATTGCTACTGTGTACTTCAATTTTTAAGCTTTGTACACTAAATAGTTGTCACTGAGTTTTAGATTGGTGGGTAAATACACACCCAGTAAAATCTTTCGAATGCATTTATTTGATAGAAACCTTTGAACATAAGTGCTAGTATGCACTTCAAAAGATATTAAAATCCAAGCAATTAAAACTATCTGCTGTTTCACAGAAGAGCATATTTCTAGCAATCAAAATTGAGTACAACCAATCACGGCATAGCAAAGTCATAAAGTTTTATGGAGATGACAGCATTTGGGTGAAATCGCAAATACAGCAAAAGAATACACTTAGCAATTCTTTCAAGAGAACAGGTTTCATGTTTGATTGTCTCTGACACTGCCTGTTTGAATCAGAGCTATTTTCCAAGACATTCTCCCGGCTTTGTGAAATTGTTACTTGCACCAGATCAAAATTGTTCAAAGTCACTGATTTCCTTCCAGGAAAATTATTAGGTATGATTGGAAGGGATTTACTTATTTGAAATCCATACCTTCCCTGCCTTCAAAAAATCCTCCACTCTGAAATATAGTCTTGCATTTAAAAAACCTGAAATTAAAAGTTAAGGAAAATCAGAAATAAGAGAAGGAAGTAAAAATTAACTGCACCTGGAATTTGTAATAAAATTGTTTCTGCACAATATTCAATTGGCATCACGTTCTTAGCAATCAAGAGAAAAGGGAAATATAAATTGCTATATAGTTTTTTACTTAAAAAATACAAGTTCTTGTGAAGGAAATTTTCATCCGCAGTCTGCTATTTTAATATTATTTTCCCCTATGCAAAAAAAAATGCTTAATAAACCTTAGATGTTTCATAAATCGCTGGATACATAGATGCAATTAAAATGAGTAAATATATAGGAGAAAAGGGAGAACAATAAATAAAATGACACTTTAGTAGAAGACATCCTTCAATGGCTGGATCCTACATTCACGAGTTGTCTTTAGGGGTGTAATATAGCGTAGTGCAGTCATATGGCTCTGTAGAAGTCCTTACTCTGGGAAATAACCATGAGCACCTCAATGGTGGAAGGGTCCCTCCAGCTTTCTTTAGCAGCAATCTTGTTAACCACATGCTTGCTCTGACAACCTTATCACTTGCCAAGTGCAAGCAGCAGTGTTTGCACTCTTACTATCTCTTACCCACTCTTACTATCAACCACCCACTATGCACTGCGTCTGTTTCTGAGTCTCTGTTTCTGAGCTCAGCGCTGCTTAATGCTAGATAATTCGTGTTTCCCATGTTACCCTTGACTCCAGATGAAACAAAGTCACACAAACAATACTCAGCAGTATTCCTCGGGTTCTCATTCCCAGCCGCAGGTCCATTTCCAGTCAGCTCCCTCTCATTTAGTGTGGAGTCGCTGGGTGGTGTTTTGCACGCACACACACACACACACACACAATTCCAGAAGGTCCTCAAGTTGGCTCGACGGAGCCGCGCTCTGACTGCCGTGGCTCCACTTCTCAAAGCCGCATGAAGGCAGAGACAGCAACAGCATCCACACGCTGCGCATAAGCTCTTAGCAACCAGTAAAGCCACCGAGGTTGACAAGATGTCATGACACTGTGACCAAAGGGAGCTGAAGCCACCCAACCAAAAATCCTCCTTGATGCCCTGCATGCAAAGCACACCAACTCTACAAGCCCTGAGTCCCAAAGAAATGCTGAGTTTCGATCCCGAAGTCACACAGATTCTTCTTTCCAGTGTCTAAGCTGCTGCCCTTTAGCCTCAGAGAAATTCATGGGATTAACTTGGAAGGTAACGGGAGACGCTGCACTAATAATAACCTTCTCCCCTGCTTATGAGAGTGTTATAGTAGACCCTGGGTATACGCAACTTGTTTGCCTTAGAAGGCACATCCTACAGAAAGGCTGCTGAGAGCCACGGAGTCTCCAGACAGTTCCAAACCCGGAAGTGACTGCCACTTCTATGTGGGCTGGGGCACTTTATTCTCGAATAATGATGTTTCCACATGGCAGATAAAATGGCCCAAACTAGCTACATCATCTGGGCTAAAGTGCTAAAAGTGGAAGAATGGCAGCATTTTTAGCAGTATCTTCTAATATTCACCAGTCTTTTATTTATAAAACATAAAATGGAGGCGTAGGAAGATTAAATAATTTTCATAAGATCACACGATTAATGAAAGGCAGATCCAAGACAGAAATCTCCTTGGTCTCTCCTGATGCTGCCCTGACCTTTTCAAATTACGCTTTTTCATTGAATACACAAATATTACAAGTTGTTCTTCATAATGTCCAAGGACTAGAAAAATGTGCAGATGTATATGAGACATGTATGGTTCAGCTCATTTATATTTTAAACAAAAGTAATATTGTCCCATTTAATAGCAATCCCTATCACAGGTTCCACATTGGATAAATTCTTCATCTGAAAACATCTAAGTAATGAGTGAATTTCAGGCCTCATCTGTCCACTTCTACATCATCTTCCTCAGAGAAATGGTCAATATAAAGAAAACTTTCAGTTTGAGGCCATCTTAGGGTGGTGGAGCTAAACCTAGTCTTGCATGGGTAGAAAATGGTCTCACTAACTAAAAATTATCATACAAGTTGATTATCCTTTAAATCCATACAGAAATGCACACAGAGTTATTATATGATGTTTTGCTCAAGGACATTCACTTGCAAAAAATCACCTCCTACTGGGGTAGAATTCAGGCAAAGAAAAATTTAATTAAGAGACTACCTCTGAGTATCTTTGGAGGGAAAGTATCACAAACTTTCTAGGAATAGGAGCCAGCTACAGAGAAAAAGAAAGGTATATATATATGAATATATATGTAAGTATATGCATATATCTATGCATATTTATATATGTAAGTTCTTCTCATCAGATGAGATGTCATCATAAAAGTTTAATTTTTTAAAAGACAGGTTGATGCTTTCTGATCAGAGAGGTATTGCTATCAAAGTCATAACCAATGATTGAACATCACTGATTGTCTATCTGTAAAAAAGCATTTACGTAGCCTGCATAGTAGGCTCTATGTAGACGCTAGGAATAGCAGAAGAGACTCCAGTAAGGGGGCAGTTGAGGAATAGTGCAAAATACTCCTGAAGGTTCCCCCTCGCTGGCTCTCATGCTCCAACGTGGCTGACTAGGTCCTCCTGCTTGGCACCTGCAGGACTTTGTATGCCCTGGCTCTTCTAGGGCTCAGTTCCTGGGTCCTCCCACTCCCCCAGCCTCAGGGCTTGTGCAGGGCACCATTCTCTCAGCAAGGATGGTCTTCCCTGCAGCTCATTCTCTTGTCTCTCACAAGTTTTTATTTAAAGGTCACCTTTTCACAGAGCCCTCCTCTGACCACTTGTGTAAAATTTCACTTTCACCTGCACCCTCTCTCCACACCTCTAACCAGAATCATGCTTCTCAATGTACACATTATTTTTTGGAAAACTAAATAATTTTCTGTTAAATAACTATCTCTCCCCCTATAACAAGAGATTTTTAAAAGAATTTTTCCTCTTGCTATTTACCTACCACCAAGAATAGGACCTGGCATATAACAGATAATAAATATTTGTTGATTGAATACATAAATATTATTTTAGAGACATATACATACATATTTTGGAGACATATACATATCCCCAGAGATAAACTTTACTAAGCATTGCACAATGTATTGATTTATTTGAGTGTCAATTATGCTAGACAGCATACCAGGTTCTGGGGACATAAAGGTAAACAGAAAGAGAAGATCTCTCCTCTCTCCTTAGGTAGCTTAACCACCTAACATCTGAGACGGATATGTATTATATTTTCATGCAAAAATAAGTAAAATTTCAATTGTTGTGAGTTGGAAGGATGATGATATGGTTTAAATGTCCCCTCCAAAACTCATATTGAAATGTAATTGCCATTGTGATGGTATTGAGAGGTGGGACCTTTAAGAGGTGATTAAGTGAATGTCTAATCTCTGGGATGAATGCGTATTAGGAAAGGGCAGTCCAGACTCCCTTTCCTTATCTAGGTTGCACCCTCACCATGTGATGCCTCCTGCCATGAGAAGATGCGTAAGAAGTCCCTCACCAGGTAGAGTCCCTTGATCTTGGACTTTCTAGCTTCCACAACTGTGAGACAAATAAATCAATTTTCTTTTTTAAATTACCCTGTCTGTGCTACTCTATTACGGCAGCAGAAAACAGACTAAGATAGACACTTCGTGCATTGAGCACACATGGCTGGGTGAAGAGAGAATGATTCATGAGGATGGCCACAGAAGACTTGAACTGTGAGCCAGAAGATGAGTGGGGAAAGAGCCTGGTCTTGAGAGCAAATGTGCTCTGGCAAAAGGAGGTGCTAGGTTGGAGTCAGGGAAGAGACCCGCATTCTGAACGGCTGATAAGGAGGCTGCTTAGGTGAGAATGGAGGTGTGGGTAGCTATGGGACAATCTAAGGCTTTAGGTTCTACTTAGAATTTTGCAACCACCCTGCAGACAAGAAGCCATTAAGGTGTTTTACGGTGGCTCATATCTGTAATTCCAACACTTTGGGAGGCTGAGATAGGAGGATTGCTTGAGCCCAAGCATTTGAGACCAGCCTGGGAAACATGGCAAAACCCCATCTGTACACAAAATACAAAAGTTAGCTTGGTTTGGTGATGAGCACCTGTAGTTCCAGCCACTCAGGAGGCTGATATGGGAGGACAGGCTAAGCCAGGGAGGTTGAGGCTCCAGTGAGCCTATATTACACCACTACACTCAAGCCTGGGCTGCAGAGTAAATCTCTGTCTCGAAAAAAAAAAGTGTTTTAAGGATGGGACACAATAGGCAAAGAGCAGGTTACATGATTGGATTTGCATTTTACAATTATCCTTGTGGATTTCCATGGGGGAATAGGCAGGACAGCCATAGACCGTGTGAAGATCCCAGCCAGGAGGCTCTTACAGCAGCCGCAGGGAGCAACAGTGACGGTGGGAAGATGAGGGAAGTGAAGAGAGTCGAGTGTCTATGTGAGTCAGCTGGAAGGGATCAGTGATTCAGGGAGGAGGAGACACCAAAGATGGTGCATGGTTCTGGGAGTTCACTGAGGTGAGTAACCTGGGTGGAGCTCTCGAATAGAGTGGAACTCTTAGGGTGAGTTCCTTCAGAAGGAGAGGAAAAGGACAGTCAGAGGGGAGGCAGACTGGATAAGATAAGATGAACAATAAGCATGGGCAAGGTGGATGGCTTGTAGATGTGATGCTTTGCATGTCCATTTTATATAAAATAGGAAGTAAGATCATCTGTAAAAAGTGATGCAGGAAAAGGTTTGAAGGGAGTGCAGGTGGTTTGAAATATTGCACCTGTTTATGTGGAGATGGTGAGCAAACAGAGCATAGAGACACACTAGTTGATTCTGCATTTATGAACATGAAAATGAAACCCATTACTTCTGCTATAGGACACTGAAGGCAAATGATTAAGTAGCTGTTATGGACTGAATGTTTGCATCTTCCCAAAATCCATGTTGAAATCCTAACCTCCAACGGAAGGGTACCAGCAGATGCAGTCTTTGGGAGGCAGTTAAATCATGAGGTTGGAGCTCATAAGATGGATTAGTGCACTTCTAAGAAGAGATAAAAAGATGGGCTATTCCTCTTTCTCTCTCCACTGTGTGAGGACACAAGCAAGAAGATGCCTATGCTTCACTCCAGGTATCCAGGTCGAGTGCCCTCCCCAGACGCCAGACCTGCCCGCTCCTTGAACTTGGATTTCTCAGCCTCTAGAACTATGAGAAATAACTGTTTGTTGTGTAAGCCACCCAGTTTATGGTAATTTGTTATAGAAGCTCAGACTAAGGCTGTAGTAAACACCTTTTCTGGTATAATATTATATTAATTTGCTTGAAAAACAGAAAATAGGGCAGGCAGACTAGAGTCCCCAACTGTGAAGTATCCACCTCCAGTGGCTTCTTTGATGAACAGAGCTCATGGTAAGTCCCCTCAAACTGCAGGATCCATGCAGAAGTTGAGCATATTCAAACTGCAAATTATCATACTGTTATTTCTATCATGCTGCCATGGTCATCCTTAGACAACATCTGAAATAACGTGTCTAAGAATAATTTGGTTAAGCTGTCTGATTTGCCAAGCATAAAAGGTGAATTTTTCATCTAAAAATATTGTATTAAGAAACTAAATATACATAAAATATGGTTGAAAAAACTTGAATATCTGGTCTGTTTTCCACAGTCACAAAATTTGCTAGCTGTCATTACTTCAGTAAGCCTTATAATTGCTGCTTATTCAGAAAGAAAAATTATCATGTAAAATTATATTTTTAAATTATATTCACTTGAACAAGTGAGATGAAATAGATACCTTACATGATATTCCAAGGGTTTTTGAAAATTATTAGTGCTCAGGGTACTGATTACAGGCTCCTATGTATAAAAGTTCTCAGTATGTGCAGTCTGGATTCAGTCTTCCCAGATTCACTCTTCCACTAGGCATCCTCATCCTCTTTGCTGCCAATTTTAATCAAAAGTTGTTAAAAGTATTTTTTAACTTTAGTTCTTAACTTTAACCAATGACTATATATCTTTCTTAATTTTTAAAAACATGTATGCTAAAACATGCCCCTGCCATTCATCATTCAAGTCTACTATTCAAAAGGACAGGTTGGAGGTGCTGATAGAATCAAGAATAGATTTGAAGGAATCTCTGGTTTATACACTTGGGAAGCTCAATAGTAGTTCAATACACAGAGCTCTAATTCTTTTATTCTGTCAGTAATTCTTTCAACAAATATACGGCAAACAAAAGAGAAAATAGAAGCATTCATCAGGCAACCAGGCAACAGCCATGTGTTGATACTAAATTGAAAACAATTCTTTTTGAGATTTAACCATGTTGTCCATCCTATGGATGGACACTGGTTTACTGCATGACCATTCCACAGGAAGTGCATCAATTGTCCTGTTCAAATACTCTTTCTAGATTTTGACTATCCTGAACAAAGCTGATGTGGACATTACGGTAGCATTATTTTGGCAGAGATACATTTTTATTTAACAAAATAAGTATGTAAGTGTGATGTCAGTGGGAATGCAGAGTAAGGACATCAGAAAGCCACTCCTCAACAAAAGAATGAGAACACCATCAAAATCAACTGCTTTAGAACTTTCAAGATTCACTATAGAGTTTAATCTGTGGAGTATTGATTCAAAAACAAAAACAAAATGGCAGAATGTCAGTAAGAACAGTGAGAGTTGTGGCATTTTAATTTTTCTTAAACCATCCTCCTCTCCCCCAGCTTTGCAGTAGCCTTGAAAACCAACAGCCTCACAATCCACATAAAAGCCAGCAGGCTAGTGGCCCCTGGAGAAAGCATAATGTGTTTGTCGCTTTCCATCAAATTCTCAGGAAGTTGTTTTAATTTGACTTGTTCTCACAGTTTCTTGAAAACCCCTTGATATGGTGTGGCTGTGTCCCCACCCAAATCTCATCTCGAACTGTAGTTCTCATAATACCCACAAGTCGTGAGAAGGAGCCAGTGGGAGGTAATGGAATCATGGAGGAGTTGCCTCCATGCTGTTCTCATGATAGTGAGTGAGTTCTCAACGAGATCTGGTGGTTTTATCGGGGCTTTTCCCCTTTTGCTCAGCACTCCGCCTTTCTGCCACCCTAGTGAAAAATGACATGTTTTCTTCCTCTTCTGCCATGATTGTAAGTTTCTTGAGGCCTCCCAGCCCTGCAAAACTGTGAGTCAATTAAACCTCTTTTATTTATAAACTCCCCAGTCTCAGACAATTCTTTATAGCAGCATGAGAACAGACTGATACACCCCTGTTTGCAGGACTTATCTTTATTTGACCCGACTCAGACCTTACTCAGTGCACATAGATATGGGATGTTTGTTGGACATTTTTAGCAATTGTTGAACGTAGCATCTTCCTGAGGTGGTAAACCACAGGAAAACAGAAACCTTTGGGAAAACAGAAAAAAAGCTGACCAAAAAGCTTAAAAAGAAAAGCTGTGGAGTGAGAGGTTCACAGGGAGGTTTCAAAAGTTCCAATACATTTCTGAGAATCTAGAAGTCCACATGCATACTTAATGCTGTATACATGCCCAGCGAAGACCTGTGGAAGGCCTAAACTCTCAGCTCTGGTTGAATTTAAGGATCTGTGCAAGCAGAAAGTAAAGGCAAAGACAGAGTCAAAACCACACATGTTGAGTCTGGATGGGGTGATGAGACACACACAGTCAGAGAATCCTGGGAGATGTATCGTTCTTGGAAATTTAAGGAAATCTTTATTAAATCATGGACTTCTCCCTAAGCCAACTGAGCAGAGACATTATTAACAACAGACAACAAAGAGACCAGATGCTACCGAGTTGGCTGAGGATAGTCACTGAGCAAACAGCAACAAGACACCCTAAGAGGGAACTTGTTTCTAGAGTTGCCGCACTACATTATTTAATATATATGTTTTCAACAGCAGCAACAACAAAATGATGATGCATGTGAAAAAAAACAAGACAGTACAGCTCACACACCAGGAAAGAAGCAGTCAGTTGAAATTCTCCGTGAGAAACCCGAGACATTAGACTCACTAAGCAAATAATTTAAATGAGCTGTTTTAAATATGCTTAGAGAACTAAATGAAACCACATTTAAATAACTACAGAAAAGTATATGAACAATCTCACCAAACAGAGAACATCAGCAAAGACATAGAAGTCACACAAAAAGAACCAGATAGAAATGCTGGAGACAATACGTGAAATAAACAATTGTCTAGAGGAGCTCAACAGAAAATTTGAGGTTACAAAAAAATTAGTAAACTTCAGCCAGGCGAGGTGGCTCATGCCTGTAATCCCAGCACTTTGGGAGGACGGGGCGGGTGGATCACCTGAGGTCAGGAGTTTGAGACCAGCCTGACGAACATGGTGAAACCCTGTCTCTACTAAAAATGCAAAAATTAGCTGGGCGTGGTGGTACCTGCCTGTAATCCCAGCTACTTGGGAGGCTGAGGCAGGAGAATCACCTGAACTTGGGAGATAGAGGTTGCAGTGAGCTGAGATCATGCCATTGCACTCCAGGCTGAACAACAAGAGTGAAACTCTGTCTCAGAAAAAAAAAAAAAAAAAAAAATTAGTGAACTTCAGACAAGTCTGTTGAGATTATTCAGTCTGAAAAACAGAAAGAAAAAATAATAAAGAAAAATAAGCAGAGCTTCATCCACCCATGAAACTCCATCAGATGAAACAACTTATGAATAATGAGAGTTCCGGAATGAGAGGAAAAAGAGGAGGATAAAGAAATACTTGAAGAAACAATAGCCACAAACCCCAAATTTGATTAGAGAAAAAAAAACAAAACAAAACAGTATCTACATGTACAAGCAGCTCAACAACTGAGTAAGATAAACTCAGTGTGATACCCACCTGAACACACACCATAGAGAAACTGTTGAAAGCCAATGATAAGACATAATCTAGAAGGAAGAAAAAGAGAAGTGAATTATTACACACAAAGGAGTCTCAATAAAGTTAATAGCTTATTTTTCATTGGAAATTATGACAGTCAGAAGGTGGTGGGATGACATACGCAAGCTGCTAAAACAAAAAGACTGCTAAACAAAAATTTTATCTAGAATACTGTTTCTCCATGAAAGAAAAGAAATTAAGACATTCCCAAATAATAACAATAAGGAAAATTAAGTTATTTCTTACATTAACTAGGGTCCTTCATACTAAAAGGAAAGGACATTCAGCAATAACTCAAATCTACATGAATAAATTAAAAGCACTGGTAAAGTAACCACATAGGTTAATATCAAAGACGGTATAAATGTAGATTTGTTTGTAACTATTTTTTCTATCTTATTTAAAAAGAAACGTGTAAAAATAAAAATTGTGCACCTGTGTTGTTGGACACTTAATGTATAACAACATGATTTGCATGACAATAATAGAAAAATAAGGGGAGAATAGAATGGAGCTGTTAGAAGTAAAGTTTTTGTTGATTACTGAAATTAAGTAAAAATCAGATAGTTCAGAATATTAGAAATCAAGATGTTAATTGTAATGTTCAGGGAAACTACTAGAATAAAAACAAAAAAAGCGAAAAAAACCCACAAGAGAATTAAAATGTTATACCAAAAAAAAGTGTTTAACACAAAATAAGGCAAGAATAAAGGAATAGAGGTTAAAAAAAAAAGGCATAAGGCATAAAGGCAACAGGAAGATGGCAGATATTCATTTTACTTTTTGCCAAGAATCAAGAATGTGGTTGCTCTAAACTTTTGCCAACATTTTTATTTTAGCCACTTGAATGTTTATCCATTTGTCTTTAAATTTTAGCCATTCCTACAGACAAGTAATTGTGGAAGTTTTTATTTTCTTAGTAATAAATTATGTTGAGCATCCTTTTTATGAAGTACTGCTCATTGTTCATTGGTACTTCTTAATTTGTGGAGACTCTGTTCAATGTTTGCCCATTCTTTTCATAGGCTATTTGTCTTTTTTATGTTTGAGTGGTAGGATATATATATATATATATATTTTTTTTTGAGACAGAGTCTGGCTCTGTCTCCCAGGCTGGAGTACAGTGGAGCAATCTCTGCTCACTGCAAGCTCCGCCTCCCGGGTTCACAATATTCTTCTGCCTCAGCCTCCCGAGTAGCTGGGACTACGGGCGCCCCCCACCAAGCCCAGCTGACTTTCTGTATTTTTAGTAGAGATGGGGTTTCACCATGTTAGCCAGGATGGTCTCGATCTCCTGACCTCGTGATCCGCCCGCCTCGGCCTCCCAAAGTGCTGGGATTACAGGTGTCAGCCACCGTGCCCGGCCGGATCTTTTTAAACATTCTAGATAAAAGTGTTTTGTCACATGTTCACAATTCAAATAGGTTTTCCCAATGTAAAGTTTACCTATTCTTTTATATAACAGGAATATATAAATGCATTTATTACAGTAATATATATGTGCTCACACACACACACACACACACACACATATATCTACGTACAAAGGGTACATATATCTATGTACCAAACTGTACAAATCACTAGCTATCCTGGAATATTCATATCTAAAGTTTAAGTCAAGTAGCCCAGCTGTGGCTAAAATGAGTTGAGATTTTAAAGTATACACTTGGAGACTAGTAAATCACACTGCCTACTAAAATAAAAGAAAAATTAATAGTCATCAGAGGATAAGAGCAGATCTAACAGTTTCTATAATGCATTATTAATACCTAGGATATAATGCAATATTTCTGGACAATTTTTTAGTAACTAAAATTGTTAGCCTTAAGGACAAACAGTAAAATATTGTGCATTCTCAACCAATTGATAAAGGTGAATCCAAAAATTACCCAATTATTTTTTTAAGTAAATACCTAAAAGCTTTTTTTCTGGTCGGTTACATTAGAAATTCTAGGTGATAGTTTAACTACCAGTATTTTCTCTTTTTAAATGTGATATAAAATGATGATATGTCATTTGATCAAGGGCATCACTGAGTCAACAAAATATGCACATTTGGAAACCATTGTCCCATTAACAGTTACTAGGAACGTTACTATGTAGTTATAAAGTGCCCACCAAACAAATCCAGATAATATAAATGAGAATCCCATCACAAATTATTATTTCTAAGATATTTGCATTTGGGAAAAGTCGCTTAATCTACTCATGTAATCGTTCCCTTTCCCATGAAAAAAGATGAACTTTCCCCAAGATACAGCTGTAAGATATCATACATTTATACATTGTTTTAAAGGACAAAAAATACACTAAAAATGCTTTTCAGAATCAGGTAATAAGATGCTAGGTTTTAAAACAGATATTTTATAATTTTCTCCCTATTATTTCAATTGTATTGCGTCTAATAATTAAACAAAAAATCAAAATAAAATGATGAAACATTCAAACTCACTAAATCTAAAGCATAGGTGTTAGTGTCGAAATAAATATCCCTACTCAGTCAAATCTTAGCAAGGAAAAATGATCTCCGGCTCTAGAAGGTGATACCTAAAACATTGTTAATGCTATATGTAAATGACAAAGAAACACCTTTTAAAATGATGTGAATTAAATGTGGATATTCCGCTAAACTTTTGTAACTCAACATAGTGCTGACAAATTAATTTTCCCTCATTCATTGGGAAATTGTGTGACAACCAGGCACTTTGTTTCTTAATAACCATTGCATCAGCAATCTCTAATTGTATATAGAACTACTGAAAATATCCAAATGAATTATAAAACACCTTTTTCAGTACCTTGTTTCTCTTCTCTTCATTTCTGTTGTTTGACATCATAACACCTCAAAATAAAATGAACTAAAGAGAGTATTTTGCTCATTTGGTGAAAGAAACTGAAGTATTCATTTCCAACTAAAGCAGCCTGAGTACGAAGAGACAGGTTCAGTGGATAATTTAAAGCAAGATTAACCAGGAAAAAAAAAAAAAAGGCATAATGACACCTGATTTGTGTTACTCCTTCCTGATTCATTCTTTACAGTTAAGCATCAATTTCATATATAGACAGAAAACTACTTTTAAAAAACAAAATTCCTAACCAAAGCCAGAGGAATGGCAAGAAAACGTTCTGGCCCTATTCCACTCTATGGCAAAAGTCTAACTTTTTACAGCTGCCATCAAAAAATTTTATATCCTAGGGAGATTTTATCATAATGTGTTGCATTTCGGTTATCTCAGGGGAACAAAGATTATGGCTCGCTTTTATGCTTATTGACAGCTACTCTACTTGATTTTAGTTTTAGTGATATCTTAGCTCCTATTATTTGCTTTTATAAGGTCCACAGGATCCTAAATGTTTAAGCATTTTATATTTTTAAAGAAAAAGTCAAGAAGAAGCAAACTATATATCAGTAAGGGAAAACAAGACATAAATTTAGCACAGGAGTTAAGAAAAAAGAGAAAATGGTCAGTTTGACTAGCAGCTTCTTTTAATTAGATCTTCCCACCATGGCATCATTACTATTTGATCTGTAGGAACTGTAGATTCCATTACTAGCATATTCCTTAATATATTTAAGTCAGGATATTTTAAAGTCAAATATATTTTTCCTTTGTTTTTTATTGAACTCATATATAACATATAAAGCATAAATTAAACCAAAAAGAGAGTATCAGAATATTAATTTTCAAGATAAATGAGTTATCTCTATAATTTTTCACTCTATAAAACCAGACTGTACTAGATTGTTAAATAGAAATAAATAGAACCATCAATTGATTCTGCTTCAAGAATGAAGTGAAATTCATTAACCATTTCACTCTAATTCCTTCTGATATGTAGCTTGAAATTTAGCAAAAGATAAGATGAAAGGGACAATAAGATGTTATTAAGAGCAAGAATGTCCCTCTTAAAACTAGCATCTTTTCCCTATTGGTGGGGAGCAAAGAAGTCTGTGACTGAAGAGGTTAGGAGCTGTCTTCCCCTCCTGCTCTGTTTCCCCTTTTCCTCTCCCCTTCACTCCCTCCCCTCTCTTTCCTTAAGGTTTCTCTGAGCCACAGGAAGCAGCATCCAGACTCCTTCACACTCCTTATTCTGGCATTATTATGTGTATTTCACAGAGGGTGGTCACAGATTTTCATCTCCATCAACCTAGGAGGAAAACACTACTTTTCCCACCTTTACAGGTAAGCAAACTAAGGTGGAGAGTTATTAAGCCATAGGCAATAGGTCACGCGGTTGTCAGGTGACGGAGTGGAACTTCAGCTCAGATGGTGGCTCTGGTGTCCAGACTTTTTTTTTTTTTTTAAGATATGGAGTTGCCTAGTCTCAAATTTGGCTTAAGAAATCCTGCCACTTGGCCTCCCAAGTAGCTGGCACTACAGACACGCAGTTCCTGGCTAAGACTCCAAAACCTACGGTGAGTCTCTCCCAGTGGCTTTGTGCTCGTCAGGCTGTACAGCTATCACAGAAGATGGGGGTGGGGGTGCTGGTCGCCCCTGGTTTAGAAAACCCTCACTTGAGCAGGACTGTTTCTAAATGTCAGGTAGAAGCCAGAGTCTGAGAGGAGCGTCTCAGGAGGACCCCCAAGTCAAGAAGAAGAGAAAAGAAAAAGAGAGAAGTCTCAAAAACTTGGGGCAATGAGAAGATTTGGGGATTGATCTCGGAGAAGAGCTGCTGGAATTGAGAGACATGTTACTGTTTCCATTTAGAAGGAGATATTGAGTCTTGACAGTGTTCAAACAATTTAGTGAAAACAAGGAAGAAAGTGTCTTGCAAAAGTATAGTCTGTGTATCTTTTCCTTCTCCTGACCTTGTCAGTTTCACTCACTGGTCCTCACTGGTAGTTAGAGTGGCTTGAGCACCACCTGGGCTGCAGTTAGAATTCACCTTGCAGGAGGCTGGCAAATGTTTTTGTGGATGGAAACTGAGAAAAAACTCATCAGTCTTCATTTCTGATACGAAACTGCTGTTTTAACATTGTTTTTAAAACAAAAGAGATGTGGAAAGAAAACAAAAACTGCAATGTTTGTAAAATTGTTTTTAATTCTCAAATGAAGTCTTAGAAACTTCAATGAGTGCAATTCTCATTCATTGTCAGCATTGTTAGTATGGATTCAAAGTGTATGTATGTGTGCATGTATGCATTCATCTGTCTATAATCTATCCATCCATCTGCTTATTCAACCATTCATCCATCTGTCCATCTGTCAGTGATCTATCATCTCTTTATCCATCCACCCATCTGTCATCCTTTCATCTGTCCATACGTCTACCTCTCATTTATCTATCATCTACATATATATCCATCCATTCAGCCATGCATCTGTTCATCTATGTATCTGGCTGTCTGTCCATCATCCGTCTGCTCATCTATGAATCTGTTCATCTATCATCTATCTGTCTATCTATCTGTTTCTGTTCATCCATCCATGTATCCATGTATCCATCTATCCATCCATTCATCTATCCATCCATCCATTCAACCATCCATCCATGCATCTGCTCATCTGTCTATCTGTCTGTTCCCCATGTCTATCCAGCCACTCAACCATCTATCCATGCATATGTTCATCTATTTATCTATCTGCTCTCTATCCCTCCATCCATCTATTCATCTATCTTTCCATCTCTCAAATTCTCTTTTAAACCTATGTTAACCTTATTCATCCCTTATTAATTAGGGATTTGAACAAAACTTTTGAAATGTGTTCATTGTTTGTTTGCATGAGAGCAATGAGTTTATCTTTTAGAAAATTATACTTTACCAGGGAGGAATTCATGTGTCCCATGTCCCCTTCTGTCCTCATTCACCTCTGCAAAGGTGAGGGTGACTCTCACCCACCCCATTTTTGTGCTTGGTTCATAAACTCAAACCTTCCTGTTGCAGCCGCTGGATTTCTACTGGGTTTCAGACATTCTCACTTGCCACAGTTGGCCATTCTTCCTAAGCTACACAGGGATGGGAGGATTTCTGTGGGCCCAAACCCCAGTGCAGTCTTCCAGACGTTCTGGATATTCATCCATCCTCTACTTCCCAGGAGGCAGGAATGAGTCTGGGTTTTTCTAATCTGCTTTCCCTTAAGCTAAAGCTAAGACAAGAGGCAAGAGGAGTCTCTATTCACTGACCTTGAAACTGCCAGGCCTTTCTACAGGTTGGTGCAAAAGTAATTGTGGAACTGCAGTTACTTTTGCGCCAATCTTCCCTACCACCCTCTCCCACATGGCTTCACCCCAAGGTGCTGTGATGCTGGAGCCCTTCTCAGATGCTCAGACATCACCTGAATTCACGTTGCACTCCTGCGTCTCCCTCCTGCCTGTTGTTGGACTCCTCATGCTTTGGGAGGGGACACACCTTCCTTCTTCCTGGAGTGTCCTCAGCTCAGTGGAGGATAGCTACATCTACACTCAGCATTCTCCCTGGGTATTACTATTCATATTCTTAGCTAAGCTACTTTAAAATTGAAGACATAAAATTCCTTCTCAACAAAGACCAGCCCTAGAAACTGAAAGCGCTTTGACTTACAAATGATTGTTCAGCGTTAGTATTTTTAAATGTCTAATTAGAGCTCAAAAATCAAGAGGTTAATATTTATTAGGTTCCTCTGTGTTCTCTTTAAGGCAATGAAGTTTACCTTTCTACTGTAGATGGAAGATAGAAGAGGATGCAGGATTTAAAATATATTTAAAAATAAACATATGTACGGTGTGTTTCCAAAACACTATCCCACAAAAATGCACAAGGAGGGAAACGTCCCGTGCTCCCACACCTGCTTCTGTGCCCACCACCTCACTCACTTGTACTAAAAGGGGTAGAAACTCCCTTCTTCTCTAAGATTACGAGGTAGTGTCCTAGATCCAGCCACTTTCCTCCAGCCTTCAAGGACTTTGTTCTGAGTGATTCCATTTCCTGTACTGTTCTTCTCTTTGTTAAATCAGTTCTATTCGTACGCACAAGCTTGAAAATATCTCTTTCCAAAACTTCAAAAACACAGAAGTACACACATCACTGCAATCTCTCCTCTCCTCTCAGACACCAGCAGTTCTATTTTTCTAGGCAGATACGCTAAGAGCCTTCACCTTGTCCCCTTCTTTCCCTAGCCTTCCGGATATTCAGTGTATCAGGACATCTCATGGGATCACTTCTCACTTCTTCTTGTGCCACTTCCTTGCTCCAAGCCACCATCATGAACCCAGCAGTCCATGCCTTGCTTTCTCCGCTAACCAGCTGGCCTCCCGCCGGCTGCTTTTGCTCCCTGCTGGAGTCTGCTCTCAAAGCCGCAGTCAGAAGAATCCTATAAAACCCTAGGCTTGATCCTGTCTGCACAGACTTCCCGATGGGCTTCCATCCCACTCAAAGTACAGGCCAACTCCCCCCACCAGGACCCACAACACCCACAGGTATCTGAGCCCCATCTCCTCTATGCAATCATCCACTACTGCTCCGGTCTCTGTTCTCAGCACTCAGACACGATTTCCCTCTTGTTGCCCCTCACTTTTGCCTCCTGTGCGCTGCACCAGTGAAAAGTTAAGGCATTCCACGAGGCCATAGTTAAGCCTTTCCACCAGGCCATAGCCGAGCTGACTCCTTTGGCGACTGCTGTCTGAACTCTAAAGTTGCCTTACTTACCTGCCACCCTATGGAACATGCCAACCTCCATCGCCCAGCATTCAGGTTCGGGCGTTTTCCCTGCCTGAGCCCTCATCCCTGTCACTTCCCGCTGCCTCACCCACCATCCTTTTCATGGGTTTCCCTTCCTTACCATCTACCTCTTCAGACAATGCAAGCGTAATGTGTTCAGGGAAAGCATATTTCAATCTCCTGAATTTAGAATATTTTAGAACAAGGTCCCATATTCACTGAAATAATGTTTGCATTATTGATCATTTTAATAAAGATAAAAGTCTTATTTAAATGAATAAATAAGCTTCACTATAGCACTATAAAGTCAATCAAAAATAATGCTAGTTTGTCTTCTCCGTGAAAGACATCTCTTCAATGAGATGTTAAATGGAAAATACATTCTTGACTCACATTTTAGATATGCATGCCATATATTATATGCTATTTGTTAATATTTATTCTTAAGTCCACATCTTCTGCAAATGAATTCTTTAGATTTTATTGCAATTGAAACATGTTTAAGTATATGTTTATATTTGTGCATTTAATTTACCATGTAGCTGTAATATGAAGATGAGAAAAACCAACTCTTGAAAAAATCTCGTTTTGAGGTCACATAACTACCCAAGACAACAATATTCAGGTTTTAAACAATTAAAGGGATTTATCCCAATGACTGACAATGCAGCTTCAAGCTAACACTTAAGGAGCATGACAGCAGCTGTGAAATCCCGGAATTTCTCCCTTCTCCTCTATGACACCTTGATAAGGCAATTATAGCATAATTACCTTAACAAGTGGCATTACAGGAAATTATTGTCATTCTCCTGTTAAAATAACACATAATCATCGGCAAGTGAATTCTAGAATCCCCAATCAGCATCTCATTACCTGCCGTTGGCTCTGAAATAAGCACAATTGTTGGGCAAAATCTCACAAGGTATTTGAAGGGAAAAAATATGAAAGAGGACAGTTTAAAAAATTGACAGGAATACAACCATCTTAACCCCCAATGATCAAATTTGCAGTTAGTCATCAACATTTACTTGTAGTTAGAAACCTCTGCAAACCTGACATCATCTTTGTTTTCCATAAATTTGTTTACTTCCCTTTCCTGCCATCTTGATTTTTTCCAAGACAGTGACATTCTTCTATGAAGCAGCAAATTATGAAGCTATATCCTATAAATGACAACATTCTCAATCGCATGTCACTCCAGTAAAAACATTTATTTAAGCCATTCACTTCTTGATACAATAATTTACTTCCAAGTGCAGTTCAGTTTTAACAATAGCAGACATTATTTTAAAATAAATCTGTATAAACCGTTTCTTGTCCCTTAAGGCCTAACTTTTCACCCAAGATCTTAAAGCAGTGTGATTGAAAGAAAGGCACAAAGCGCCATCGTAAGAAGATTCAAAGTTTCTTTAAGGTCAACAAATATGGGACTTTATGAGGATGGCCGCACACAGCAGCAGACACCCACCATGCTCTTGGAGGGGAGGGTTAGCTGCTTGGGTCCCCCAAGTCTCCCAAGAAGAACAGTCTTTTTGACAATATTAGGGGTTTTTAAAATTTTTTATTTTCATTGGCTTTTGGGGAACAGGTGGTGTTTGGTTACATGCATAAATTCTTTAGTGAAGATTTGTAAAATTTTGGTGTACTCATCTCCTGAGCAGTATAGACTGAATCCAATTTGTAGTCATTTATCCCTCACCCCCTTCCCACCCTTTCCCCCTGAGTCCCCAAAGTCCATTGTGTCATTCTTATGCCTTTGCATCCTTACAGCTTAGCTCCCACTTATGAGTGAGAACATACAATGTTTGGTTTTCCATTCCTGAGTTACTTCACCTAGAATAGTAGTCTCCAATCTTATCTAGGTTGCTGCAAATGCCATTAATTCATTCCTTTTTATGGCTGAGTAGTATTCCATCATATATATCACCGTTTCTTTATCCACTCGTTGATCGATGGGCATTTGGGCTGGTTCCACATTTTTGCATTTTTGCAACTGCGAATCATGCAGCCATAAACATGCATATGCCGGTATCTTTTTTGTATAATGACTTCTTTTCCTCTGAGTAGATACCCAGGAGTGAGATTGCTGGATCAAATGGTAGTTCCACTTTTAGTTCTTTAAGAAATCTCCACACTGTTTTCCATAGTGGTTGTATGAGTTTACATTCCCACCAGCAGTGTAGAAGTGTGCCCTCTTCACCACATCCACACCAACATCTATTACTGTTTGATTTTTTTATTATGGCCATTCTTGCAGGAGTAAGGTGGTATCACATTGTGGTTTTAATGTGCTTTTCTCAATAGCATGGTTTTTCACATACTGCTGGCCGCCCTCTCGTCTGGCTGTCCAGATGACTTTGATGGCAGACTTGCCAGGAGGTAACAGGAAAATGCCCAGCACAGTAACCCCAACAGGCCCCTGAGCATTTACCACAGGACGACATAAAGTGAAGGTTTGCCTTTCCTCCGTATTTCACAGTCTATGCCTGAAACCTGCCTGAGTTTAACTTTTCCAAAGAAAGTGAACAAAATAATTACTTGAACCTCTTACTCCATGTGATGAGAAAAATAAATAAATGCCACAAAATACAGGGAAAAAAGACACTCAACCATAATAAGTCATTCTCTTCACTGTCTGTTAGTTTCTTCCAGGTCAGCTATGATTTTTTTTAAAATGATAAGAATAAAAGAAGTAATTTTTAAGATCATATTTTAAATAAGCCTCCTCCCCTTCTTTTAACAGAGATTTCACGTTGACCTCATTCATTTAAATGAGCAAAGCATTTGAGAGCTTGGCGGCTATGCCAAAGAGGCTGTTTGCGGCCACCATGGTAAAGAAGAGAAGGTGCATTTCTATGAGTTACCACCATAAGTAATAAGAACAGGAAATGATGGTAGAATGCTTGGCTTGGTGAACTGACATAGCAGTTTCTAAAAAGCCACATGATACAGAGAAATTATGGTACCCAGCCTGAAGACCTTGACCAAGGAGATGGATGGATGCCACGTCTCATTCTTTCTGGTATTTCTAAAACACAGTTCTGTTGATGCTGTTTTAGTATTTCATAGGTGGAAATAATTAAATGAAATTTCAACAGACACAAAAGGAGACAAATACACTCCCTAAACCTATGTCCCATTTATACAAACATCATTGCTAAGATCAGAAGGTCTAGATTAAAGAACTCAAATTTACTTAATGAGTGAAGAGCATCAAGCCAGTCTGGGACACCTAGGAACCCAGCTGCCATGGTGCTACTGTTCAGAACTTTTTAAAGTTGCGCTGCCTCTGGATAGAGTCTTGGCTGCCATCTCCCAGCTGGTGGACTAGTTCAGCCAGATGGATGAGGTCACACGTCCAAAAAGCAATGAGCTAGGTCAAAAAGTTTGCTCTATAGACATGGCCCATAAAATTAACTATAGGAACATGATTAAAAATCACAGCAATACAATGCAGTTGACAAGATTCATTCAGCACAAGTGTTAGACTGTGAAATAAATCAATTATTTCCTCTGACTTTTGTTTATAATGAGTACACTTCTGGGAGAATATTCTTTTCACTTTATTCACTTGCACCAAAAATTAGAGTGAACAGATATTTGGTACCAGTTAGTAGAGTCAGGAGTACTGTCTGTACATTTGAAATGTGATTTCTAGAGAAATCACTGCCCTTTCTTTTTTTTGTGATTGCCTTTTTTTTTCTTTTCTGATTTCATGTTTATCTTGTTGCATCATCACGTTCTGCAATCCAGTATCTCTCTCCATCTATCTCTTCTTTATCTATTCATCCACTAAACATCTGACATAGTTTGGATATTTGTCCCTATCAAAATCTCATGCTGAGTTGTAATCCCCAGTGCTGGAAGTGGGGCCTGGTGGAGGGTGTTTGGGTCATGAGGGAGTTTCCGTCATGGCGTGGCACTATCCTTGCAATAGTGAGTGAGTTCTCTCAAGATCTGGTTGTTTAAAAGTGTGTGGTGCCTCTCCCCTACCTCCCATGGTCCTTCTCTGTCCATGTGACCTACCTGTTCCCCCTTCACCTTCTGCCATGATTGGAAGCTTTCTGGGGCCTCCCAAAGCCCAGCAGATGCCAAATGCCACACTTCCTGTAAAGCCTGCAGAACAGTGAGCCACTTAAAACTATTTCCTGTATAAATTACCTAGTCTCTGGCATTTATTTATAACAGTGCAAGATGGCCTCATACGTCCATCATTTTTGTTAAGTTCCTACCTTAACTGAAGCATTCTTGGTAGTAAGGAGGACAAAGGCAACTTTGTAGGACGTGAGTACGAATAAATACAACAAAGGCATTAAGTTAAAAGGACAAACTATGTTTTGAAAATGATAGTAAACAAACATTTTAGAATTTTACTTTCTGAGCAATAGTACTTTTATTTTTATTTTTTTCTCTGTGGTTACACTCATTTCTCCTTTATTCACTAAGTTTTAACAGAAATGGAAAAACAAAGACTTCAAAAGATATGTAAGTTAGAGTGGATGCAGCTTAGAGCATCATTAGCTTTGGGTAAGTTCTGATTTAGAAAATAGGCGAATAGTGGTTTCTTTTAAAAGTATGAGAAAACACAAGCACAGAGCAAGTTGTATGGAGAAGACATGTTGTATTGTGGAAGTCGCTTAATCTAAAGAGACTGTGGGACACTCAAGAACATAGATCAAGCCTACTGTATAAGTGTCTTAGGCTCCCTGGAGAGCTTTGGGCTGAAGATGCTAATTTGGAAATAATATTTACAGAAACAGCAAGTGAAGTTACAGGCATGGAAAGGGTTTCTGGGAAGAATGGGAAGAGAAGACGACCAAGGGTAGACTTAGTCAACAATGTTTAAAGAGTAAGAACAGGCAGAGAATTCCACAAGTGCCACACTTAGGTCAGTAACAACTAGCATGAAAGGGTATGTGTTGCGTTTAGCAACCAGAACATGGGGATGATAACAACGTGAGCCTGGGATTATGGCCTTGAAAGAAGAAATGTGGAGTGAGAGTGGGATTTAGGGAGTGAGAGACACACTAGGTAACATGTGGATCTGAATGTCTTGCTCTGAAATGCTTCTTTAAAAACACAATTCCTCTGGTTGAAAAAGTATCTACACTCGTTACAAATTGTTATGGGAAGCACAGAAGGGAAAAAGAAAACAAAAATTATTATCGCAAGTGTATTTCCTGCATATAATTGAAACTTAGTATTAGCGGGATAAATAAATGTTCTGTTTCACAAAATAAGACCATCATCTGCTAATATTTTTGGAGCCTTCTTCAACCATTTAGCAATGTTACATAATGGTTTTCCATGTTATGAAGTATTCATTTGTTTCCTCATTTTGCTTCTTTAGTGCTCTGAGGCTCTTGTGGGGAGGAACAGGGCGGAAGAAAACTCACTTATTTACTTTGCATGTTAGATTGAATATTAGAATAACTTTGGAGAAAAAAAAGCTTTGCTGCTGAAATTTAGAACTATTGTTCAGAAGTATTTTGATAGCTGATATCATATCCTCTTTTATGGGACTATTTGATACATTCACACTTTTTCAAAAGTCCTGCTTTTTTTTCTAACTATGCATTTTTATTTTATAAATAACACTTCGTGGAGCATGCTTGCAAACATAATCTTGAATATACTGCAGAATTTGGTTAGTTTTTACCTTACTTAGTGATTTCTTATCTATTTGTGTAATTAAATCGTGCTGTATTTTTCTGTGTAATATTTTGAGAGATTCTAACATCAGTATTAACCCAGTTGCACAAAACAATTTGAAATCCATACTTTTATCAATCATCAGTTGCAGTTTGTATCCTATTAAAAGTACAATTCCTTAGAAAAATTGGAAAATATAATTTGTTTTATTAACACAAAAAGTAATTCAAGTACAAAGCCATAAATAGAAGTAATTATTGAAATTTTAAAAATTAGTCCATGGTTTATAATTTTTCAGATCTATTACATTTTGAGATAAGTTCACCATTTGTAGGTTTCCTATAAAGAAGCATACATTTTACAGAAATTTGCTTATGGGCATAGAGTAAGACAGTTTATTCTTGTAAATATCGTCTTTTGATATTGTCTTTCTTTCCCAGTTTATGAACAAATTTATGGACAATATGAAAAAATTCAACTCAGTTGATCGATGTCATGTGTCCTGATTGTTGAGAGAGGTAGTATGTTGTATTGCTTATGATCACAGACTCAAAAACTACACTCCTTGGGTCCAAGGACAGGCTACATCTCCTTGGTCAAGTTCTCTAAACTCCTCAAGCCTCAGTTTCCTCACCTGTAACATGGGAATAAAAGCAACGTGAGGCTGGGACTGTGGTGAGAACTAAACATGTTAATGCCCTCAGGTTGCTTAGAGCGGTGCCTGGCACATGTGCAGCTTCTGATAAATGTGAATCTTCATTGCTATCAAAATGGCATTGACGAATTTGAGGTCAATATGCTTTCTTTGCCAAATGTGGGCATGAATATCTCATCTACTTTGTATACACATGCAAGCATGGACTTCTTTCAAAACGGAGTTTTTGGAAGGCAACTAAAAAAATTGCAAAAGATAATTTTAAAATAATAGCAATGAATAATGTGAACTCTTGAATGACTCCACTGAAAGTTGTACCCAAATTTGTATGTATGCATCATTTCAGACTTACTTCATATTTACCTGATTAAATTTGTATGTATGCATCGTTTCATACTTACTTCATATTTATCTGATTAAATTTGTATGTATGCATCGTTTCATACTTACCTCATATTTACCTGATTAAATTTGTATGTATACATCGTTTCATACTTCATATTTATGTGATTAAATTTGTATGCATGCATCGTTTCATACTTACCTCATATTTACCTGATTAAATTTGTATGTATGCATTGTTTCATACTTCATATTTATGTGATTAAATTTGTATGCATGTATCGTTTCATACTTACCTCATATTTATCTGATTAAATTTGTATGTATGCATTATTTTCTACTTACTTCATATTTATCTGATTATATTATAGGCTATTTCCTGTGCTTTCAAAGTCCCTCAACAATTTCTATATAGTTATAAATCCAACGGCCAGATTCTTTCTTAAACTGCACATAGATAGTGAGGAGGCCCCTCCCCTTTCTGTCTGAAGAGATGATTTTCATGGTGACTGCAACTTTATTCTTGTCAAAACACTTGTATGTAACGGGACAGCTGCCCTGTATAATGCGAGACAAAGCAAATCATCACTTTCTAAACATACAAGTCATGCTTTCTTAGTCACTGGATCCCACTGCAGATGGAAGGTTGAGAAACGTGGAAAAGAAAAACACGAACCGAGATACGAAGGGTGATACCGAGCTCCCGCGATGAGAAGCAGCTTGCAAGGCTTCCAGGGCACAGCACCTGCCGCAGGGACCCAGGCTGCAACAAAAAGAACAACGTCAACTCCATCTGACACGTCTCCATTCATCATTCCAAACGACACACCCAGCAGCAGAAAGAAATACCTAAGTCTAGTTCGAAAATATTTGAACAGTAAGAACCTGTGCAACAGATTCGCCATAGGATAGGAGGACTTGACCTGGATCCCAAATGGCAGTGGAGGGAATGGCGTGCAAGGACCTCATGGAGGTTCAGTGAGTCTCTTCTGCAGATTCATGTGGTACATAAATAAACAGGCATAAGGAACATTTCCATAGCAACTGTGTTTCTTAGGAAGAGGAAGAGCACAACAATGCTTGAATGTCAAACTCTCAAAGAAAACTATTATCAGGGAAAAAAAAGTATATATATATATATATATATATATATATATATGCAACCTTTCAAGTCCATGGAGGGGTAGGGAAAAAGATTATTTGCAAATACGCAGAAAAAACAAACGAACAACAAACAAAATCTTGTTTCTGATCCCTACACAACATGCTTTACTTCTTACATTACAGAAGTGAATCACAGAGGATCCTGAAAACTAAACTTTATTTGCTGTTTTGGAATAAGCCCTTTTTCACGTGTCGCTAGAGGGGGTTGTCTTATTTTCTTTCTTTCCTTTCTTTCTTTTCTTTCTTTCTTTCTTTCTTTCTTTCTTTCTTTCTTTCTTTCTTTCTTTCTTTCCTTTCTTTCTTTCTTTCTTTCTTCCTTCCTTCCTTTCTTCCTTCCTTCCTTTCTTCCTTTCTTCCTATCTTTCTTCCTTTTTCTTTTTCTTTCTTCTTTCTCTTTCTCTCTCTTTCTTTCTCTCTTTCTTTCTTTCTTTCTTTCTTTCTTTCTTTCTTTCTTTCTTTCTTTCTTTCTTTCTTTCATCTTTTTTGAGACAGAGTCTCACTCTGTCGCCCAGGTTGGACTGCAGTGGCACAATCTCGGCTCACCGCAACCTCTGCCTCCTGGGATCAGGCAATCCTCCTGCCTCAGCCTCTTGAGTAGCTGGCATTACAGGCGTGCGGTACCACACTCAGCTAATTTTTGTATTTTTATTGGAGATGGGGTTTCACCATGTTGGCTAGGCTGGTCTCGAACTCCTGACCTCAGGTGATCCACCTGCCTCAGCCTTCTGGGGGTTGTCTTTCTTTAGCAGCCTGAGCAAGGTGTGACTGGCCATGGCTTCTAAATATCTAAACAATGATCACTGCTGGAGAGTAGGACCTTGGCCACAGAGGTGAATGAATATTCAGCCTGTTATTCTGGATTAATTGGGAATTGATTAAATTAGTTATCTGAAAAGACTCACAAAGTCCAATAAATGCTTTCACATTAAGCAGTTTGGAGAACGTTGTTTTATGATTAAGTCCAACTGAGGCAGCATCTTCTGAATGTGTCTGACACCCACATCCAGCTAGAGGAAAGAAGAGACCAAAGATTGAACTCCGAGGCTGATAAAACAAATTGCTTGTTTTGTGACTTGACTTACTGGTATAAAATGCTTAATTTAATTTAGGTAAGCATGAATAACAAAGAATTTAGGGGTTCTTTGTTCAATCTCTAAACACACACATCAACATTGCCCAACCCTGTGTTTCCAACCAGAGCAGCCCGTACCTGAATTCCACACACACAGGGAGATTGTCTGGCATGATGTCTCAGATCCTCTCTGTTTTGACTTCTTCCTGGACAGGGAAGGTGGACTCACCCATTCATGATTTGAGAGGAGGAAGTAAGCACAGCCTAGCTCTGTGCTTTCTGCCCCCCACAATGACAGGGAGTATTTTGTTCTGTTTCACTTTTAGTGAAGTTGGAGGCACAGCCTTACCAGGGGAGACCTACAGATTTCTAGTGCTACCTAAGACTGGGTGGACACATTGTCCTCTTTCTCAGGTGTGGAGCAAACCACAGAGGAGACAGGTGGTGTCACTTCCTCCACCCCCGCGTCCCCTGTGGCGTGGGTGATGGCCTGCTCTGCACCTGCCTCTCTTTGGTCTTTTTCAGTTTGTTCCAAACTGATTTGAGTAAGAACATGCTAAGTGTTCGAGATTATACAACTGACACCACATGCATTAGGGATGCATATTCAAAATCTCTTTTTCAAATTTAATTCCAGCCGTAGAGGTGTTTTATTGTAAAATAACTGCCTCCCTTGTTAAAATAAAATGATTATCTCATGTGAGAAGTGAGCAAAGCCTTTCAGATATTTCCAGGAAATTTTCCTGCCTTTCCAGTTCTTCACATTTTGAATCTCTCTTCACTAATTATATGCAAAATCATCTCTTTTTTCTGTTTTCATTATTTTATATGAAAAAAGCTCTCCAACTCGAAACAAAACTCATGCAAAATTAACAAATAAAAATTCACAAAAAGCAAAGATAAAATGATTGCCATGATGCATACATTTAGTCCTACAAAAATTATGCTTTAGTCTTAAGGAGTATTATGCATTTCTGGGCACACTGGTGAGTTTCTTTTCCTTCCACACTACCTGTACTCATACTTGAAAATATCTTACTTCCTAATATCAAATCAGTGTCCTGGATATTGGAGATCTTTTTTGTGGAAAAAAATAAAAGTGCCCATATGCACTTTGACTTCTCCTTCCTGTTGAAGAAATACTTTTAACAGCAGCGGCATCCCAGAAATAGCAATGAATACTAAGTACCAACCCTTGGAATAAACTCGCACAGTCACTGAGAAATACATAAAATTCATGTATTTTGCACGGAAGAGTGAAATGAAAGGAGATATTCCTGCAAGTGTGGAAACAACGACCCCTCCCACACTGCCCCTTGGAGACCTTCACTCATAAGCTCTCCACCCTCCACACGTGGACATCTGGGCCTACTGCAGGTTGTTGTAAAGAATTCTCCCTGAGGCATGTCATTATTAATGGACATTAGCACTGACAATGTCCTCCCTAGCCATTCATTCGCAGTGGCTTTCCCTGAAGGGAACGGCCATCGAAACCCCTCCTGGAAGGTCCTGAAGATTAACTGATGGGGCATATTTTAAAATTAATAAGATTTCCTAAAATTTCAAGAACAACATTTTGGGCTTTTTAAAAATTAAATAGAGTATTCATTGGAAGAGAAGAAGAAATGCTACATGTAGGCAGGATTTGGGAGAATAGCAAAGTGATGATAGCGGACTCTGTTATGCTCCGAGATAGACTGCGTGGTTAAGACTCCTCTCCTGCAGCACCCTGCGACCTCGACAGTCACTGTCGGAGGCAGAAAAGGACAGGTGACTCCACAGACCAAGGGACCCGCACACTTAGTGCTGAGGGCCAGGGACTCCTGCTGCTCCCGGGGACTGGTATGTGTGGACACCTGAGCTGCATGCTTCCTAGGGACTGCCTGCAGAGTCTGGGTGGTGCAGCTTGAACTTGCGAGAAAATTAACCCTCTGGGCAGAGAACAACTTGAGCATGGGGGAGAGAAGAGGCTCACGAATAAATTACTTCCCTTCACCTCCCCAGATGGACTTCCTGAAGTCCACAGTTCATACGACCCTGTGCAGATGCCCCGCTCAGACTGAGCTGTGCTTGTCACAAAGCCCTGGCCAGCCAGAGAATGCACCCTTATATCTGCTCTCCCCACTTTCTGCTCCCTCTTCCTTTGTTCCCTCCTCTGGCTTTCTGGGTTTGCACTCCCCATTAGAGCATTAGTATGGTAAATTTTCACTCCTAGCTCTGTTTTATTAAGAATCCACTCTGAGATAGTCAGATTTTTTTAAAGTTTTATTCTTAAGAAAAAAATAGTCTTTTGAAAAATTATATAAATTTCTCCAAACTTGTTAAGTGGCATATTGAGGACTGTAATTCAGAATTTCTGAAGTTGTTTCCATAATATGGGCACTTTGAAAAGAAATATGAATCATTGAAGCACTTTATTAGTGCATTGTTATCCCTGATGAGCCAATATTTACCATATAATTATTTACACCTTTGCTAATAATATGGGAGCTAATAAAAATCTTCGTGTGGGCAGAGTAATTGCATTGGGTCACCTTCAGTATTATGTTACTAGATGGCCTCCAGCAGGTGTTCATTTCATCTGATGTGTATCATTTCTACTGATGTCAGTTACATTTCATCAAAGCATAGTAATTATGTTACATAGCAAAGTAAATTCTGCAGAATATTATAAAATGACAATCATAGGCTTGGTGAACATGTGAATAAGATACTAGTCCTCTGTACTCATGGTGTAATAGATAAATATCTGGAGACTATTCTATACAAGAAATAGAACTAAAAGACTGGCAAATATTAAACATATGATACAGAAAAATAGAAAAAGATTTTATTATATTGCTAACTTAAAGATTAACTTTTCTATTTATCAACACAGTATCATTAGATTTTATCATTTACTTATCCAGAATATATATAAGAAATGTTTTTCTTAGGCTTGGTTTAAAATGATCAACTATGATTGTGCATGTACTTTTAATTCTCATCCTTCCTTTGTCAACTGTCATATATTCCTGGGAGCAAACAATTAGGAAATAGTTTAGCAAAACAAAACCTGCTGTGGACGGAACACATCATATTATTATATTGAAGATTATTATATTTAAGATTTAATTTTTGTGACTTTATTGCCAGAAATATTTGTTCATGCTAATATAGAAGATTTTTCTTTCCTACATATATAATCAGCTTTTCATTGTATTTTTAAAGTGGGTTGTTTTTTAATGCCTCATGTTTTGTCAGTATAGTGAAATAGAAAAATAAGATGACCATATAAAACATCATCCAAAATTTTTAAGTACGATCTTTATTTAGAAAACCAAGAATCCTATGAAAAATAGAACTACATTACATTGTTCAACAGAAGACAGGTTATAAGTCATCATATTAGTGAACACATAGATTCATTTCTATTACCAACTCAAGGAACAAAACAAAAATAGTATCTCTCTTCCTTCAATTTGCCTTACTTCTTTATTTAACCTGCATGAGATGTTGACTAATTTGCAAAACAATAGTAATAAACCTAGAAGTCTTTTTTAATATTTTGCAGTCTAGGAGTGTTTCATGCTCATGTTGGATTTCTAAGTCAGTTTACCCATTAATTATAATATGATATTAAGAATACTATGTACTTATATCAAATCAAAATGTTGCATTCCTTGAATACATACAACTTTTATTTATCAATAATGCCAAAATAAAGCTGGGAAAAAGAACCCTAAATAATCTTTATCTACTTTGCTAACATTGAAACATGTTGAACACTAAGTATAAATATTCCCATGAAAACCTGAAGAGGAAAACAAAATCCTTAGTTGTCTATTTTCCAAAGCCTCAAGAAGCACTCGTATGCATTTGTGTTTATATATTAACATAGGAATTTTACCAGTGTTTTCTAGTTTAAATTTTCCATTTTTTAAAAAAGTTTATTTTAGCTCTATCTTGAGTGATAGCTGTGGTTATGTCACTTTCTCATTCAAATACTTTCACAGTTTGTCTTTTCCTGTAGATTATTGTCCAAGTTTCCCATTGTCATTTTTCAACTGACAGACACACCGTGACCCTACCTACTATTCTGATCTTATTTCCATTTTTAATTTCCTTTCACAAAGTTAAAGAAAAATTGAAGCACCTTTTCTACTTATACACTAAAAAGTCTCCTCCTCCCTGAGTTGACGTTTGAAATATTTAACAGGAGATGATGGTTAGGTAACCACCAGTCAAAACAGGCACCCTAACCAACCAGAATGACATAATCCATGAAACATTAATTCAGCTGTACCTATTCTGGGCCTCCAACTAGAGGATGTCTCTCTCCCTTTTATATTCTATTATAATTATTAGTGTTTTTATTTAATACCACAATAACCTTTAAACTCCTGGAAGAAAGATTTGACACAAACTTTACCTTTATAATAATGGATATTCCTGAAATATTTTTTAAAAGGAAGAAATAAAAAAGGGGAAAAAGAAGACAAAGAAACAAAGAATAAAAGCTTTACAGAAACATTTGCTGAATAAATAGACTAAGACACAGTTCAAAAATGCAATTTGCAATTGAGGTTTTGGTGGAAATTTCCATTTAAAAAGGAGTGGCAGAATCGAGTCTAATGAAACAGTCAACTTGTATTTTAATAATACTAATTGAAGAGAAAAGTTAACAATTTACTTGGTATTTTGTGGATAAATAACCTAGAAGTGTTTTTTTATTGTATATGAAATTCAAGTGAAGAAATACATCAGAATTTCTGAGCTAGGTAAGTTGGCACACAAGCACTCTCAGGGCCTAAAATTGTAACCATGTATCTTTCCTCCAAGAATGCTTTCATTTGGTCATAGATTTGATGTCTAAATCTTCTAATTAAGTGCTCAGCTTTAAATGTATGCAAATGCAATGGAACAGGCATTTCCAAAAAACTCAAATTATATCAAAGTCACAAAGATGGTACACCTATCTTCTTCAACCCCTTCCAAGATACAACTGAAGAAAATATCTCTGTCCCAAGTTCAAATAATGAAGCTATTATCCATTTTTGCCCTTCAGGGAAATAGTCATTTATTACATTAAGAATGTATAAAGAAGTGAGAAAATAAATAGTTTGGGGGAAAAATGGCCATATCTTGTCCTGTGCAGACACATGGACAACTGCAAGGCAGGTTCGTGGTGTCTGCAGTACTCATTCCCCACAGTACAGTATGTCAGCCTGAAATTGGACCATTCAATTATTATATTTGGGTTCTCCTTTAAGGTGCTGTTTTGGAATTTGATGTATGTGGTTATGCAACTTTGAGAAAAGATGAAATACTGCTAATTTTTTAACTTATAATTTTTAAAATTATGAATTATGATGGGATTAGTGGCCACATAAGAAGAGGGAGAGACACCAGAGCTAGCCTTCTCTACATATACATTGAAAAAAGGCCATGTGAGGAACAGAAGGAGAAGGTGGCCATCTGCACACCAGGAAAAGGGCCCTCACCAAGAAGGGAATGGGCTGACGCCTTGTTCTTGGACTTCCAGACCACAGAACTGAGAGAAATAAATTTATATTTTAAACTACCCAGTCTATGGTCTTTATTTTTGGCAGCCTAAGTGGACTAATACAACAGGGAAATGCAAAAAACAGTCCACAATAAGACAAGACATACTTTTGCATATTCCCTGCACAAAGTACAAATAAAACTCCCAAGTATTCTATATAAAATGAGCATATAAAATGAGCATAAGAAGGTTCTAAAAGGGGAAGAGAAGAAGACAGTTGACCTAGGGACATTAGGATCCAAGACAAAACACAATGGCATATTTCCTGGGATTTTCTTTTATCTTATATATTTGAGACTTATTGAAGAATCCGGCAACTCAGAAACACCAATAGGTGTGGAACAAACCTCACCCCCACCGCCGCTAAAAATATGGAAAAGGGAAGCCTACAAGGACAGAAACATTTTAGACTATGATTGTTCTACTCCTGACAAACACCACGGAGAAATGTGTGGTCCCGTCACCACCCCACCAGCAAAGACTGAGAGAAGAACAAGGCTGTAATGAGGTGTCCCAAGACCCCCGCTAGAGTGATGTCAGAGAAGATCAGGTGGAAGCTAGGACTTTCATTCCTGCTGGCTGTTAATCAGCCCCAGCACCACAGCAGGGGACCTAGTTTTCTGCCTCCATCCGACAGTGATAGGATTTCCTGCCTAGTATCCATTAGGGTGATGTCAGAGGAGAATCAGAACTTTAACCACTGTGTAGGGATAATGAGGTCACTTCCACTGTGATGACAGTGAGATCACATGGGGAGCTAGAGTGCCCACCTGCCCCCAGTAACAAGACGTCCGCCTCAGTATCAATGGACACTGAGTAGGGAACCTAGACATCCAACTACACGTGGCTGTAATGAGCGGTGCTTCCCCTTCCTTTGCCAGCATAGTGTCCAAAAGCAGCTGTCAAGTCAGAAGCATTAAATACGTCTAGAATCTCATGACATCAAATAAAAATGTTCAGCCTTCAATAAAAAATTACTTTCCATGCCAAGAACTAGGATGAATTTAAGCTGAATGAAAAAGACAAGCACGAGCATACTTTGGTATGTTAGAATCACCTGGCAAAAATTACAAAGTATCCGTGACAGAAACTGTGCAGGCCAGCAGGAAATAGCACCATATTTTTCAGATGAGCAAAGAAATATCAATCTAGAATCCCACTAAAAATATAACCTTCAAAAATTAAGTGGAAATCAGGGCACTCTTCAATGTATACAAACCAAGAAAATTAGTTGCCAGCAGACCTACTCCAAAAGAATGACTAAACGAACTTATGTAAACAGGAAGGAAACAATCAAACAAGGAAACTTTAACCATCGAGAAAAAAATAAGACAAACAAAAATGCAGATAAATAAAATAGGATTTCCTTCATTCACTTTTTTGATTTCTAAATTACGTTTTATGATTGAAGAAAAAATTACAGTACTGTCTGATGTAGTCCTAAATATGTAGAGAATATGTTTAAGACAACTATATTATAAATGAAGGAGGGTAAAGAAAAGTAAAAGGCTGTTTTACTTCCTCCAGACTGGCAAAATGATGACATTAATATACTGCAATAAGTAATGTAATATACACTATATACAAAGCAAACACTTAAAAAAGTTGTACACATTGAGACACTTAAAAGTGGTATAGATAAATCAAAATGGAATTATACAAAATTCTCATTACTCACAGAAAAGTGACAAAACAGAGAAAAAAAAATACCAAATATAAAACAACACACAAAATGACAGACTCAAGTTCCACTATGTCAGTACTTACACTAAATATAAATGGCCTAAATACATCAAGTAAAAGACAGAAATTGACAGGGTTAATTAGATCTATGATCCAATTATATATTGTCTACAAGAATGTAATCTCAACTATAATGATATAAGTAGATAAAAGTGTATTCTTCTCTATATTAAAAGATACATTTCTAAATAACTCATAGCTAAAGAGAAAGCAAAATATAGATTGCATTGAACAAAAAATGAATTTAAAACCTATCAAAAATTTTGATATGCAATACTGAGGGTAATTTGTATTGATAAATGCATGTATTAGAAAAAAAGAAAAGTCTCAAATTAATATTTTCAGCTCTCGACTCAACCTAGAAAAAGGAGCACAAAATAAACACAAAGCAAGGAGGAAGAAAGAAATAATAAGAGCAGAAACCAATAAAATTGAAAAGAGAAAAACAGTACAGAAAATCAAATAAACAAAGACATATTTCTTTAAAAAGTTTAAGAAAACTGACAAACTCTAGCAAGACTGACAATAAAGAGAAAAGACACAAATTATTAATATCAGGAAATAAATAAAATATTGCCACAGACCCTGTAGACATTACGAAGATACTGTACTTTAGAAACACTATAACCAATTCCACACACGTTGATGTAACAAATTATATTAAATGGACAAATTTTTCAAACTACCACAACTACCTAATTACCCACAGTACTGAACTACCTGAAACACGAACTACCACAGCTCAACCAGTTTAAAATAGATCGTTTGAATAGCACATGACTACTAAAGAAATTGAAATGGAAAGTTTAAAAAATCCAAACAATAAATCTTCAGACCCAGTTAATTTCACTGGAGACATACTAAATGTTTAAAGTATTAACACCAATTGTATATAAAGTCCTCCAGAAAATGCAAGCAGGAGCACATCCCAATTCATTTTAGGAAGCAAGCATTGCTCTGATTACAAAACCAGAAAAAAACAGTGTAGAAAAGAAAACCAAAGGCTAACAGTTCCCATGAACATGGAAAACAAAAATTCTTAACAAAATATTGGCAAATAGAATTTGACAGTATATGTGTGTGTGTGTGTGTATATGTATATACATATCACTCACTTGGCCAGGGTGTATTCTATATATATAGTATATATATGTGTGTGTGTGTATGTATGTATGTATATACATATTACTCACTTGGTCAGGGTGTACTCTCTCTATATAGTGTATATGTGTGTGTGTGTGTGTGTGTGTGTATGTATACACATATCACTCACTTGATCAGGCTGTACTCTCTGTATATAGTATATAGTGATAGTCCAGATTCCAGGGATGTAGGTCTGGCTCAATATTGAAAAATCAATGTAATCCACCCTATTAACACACTAAAAAAGAAAATGACATGATCATATTAATCAATGCAGAAAAAGTATTTGACAAATTTTGACAACTTTTTATGATTAAAAACTCAAAAGGTGAAAAAAATGGTAACTTTCTCAACTCAATAATAGAGAAGCTATAAGAAAATCTACTGCTTAAAAATGAAAGACTGAATGCTTTCCCCCAAGATCTGGAACAAGATGATCATATGTCAATATTCTTACTCTACATAGTATTAGAGGTTCTAGACAGTGCAGTAAGTCAAGCCTGCCAAGTAAAGAAATAAGCAGTATATAAATTGAAAAAGAAGAAATGAAACTGTTTATATTTGGAGATGACATAATTGTCTACATATAAAATCCCAAAGAATGTACAAAACAAAATTCCTAGAACTAAGAGGTGAGTTAAGTAAGGCTGCAAAGTACAACACAGGCACACTAAAATCAGTTAGCTTTCTATATATTAGCAATAAATATGTAAACAATAAAATTAAAAATATAATACCTTTTAAATTACTCAAAAAAGCAACAACCTCTGTAAACCTAACAAAACATGTACAGGACTTATATGCTGAAAATTGCATACAACTGGTGAGAGAAATCAAAGAAGTTTTTGACCTGACACCAGAAGCATGATGCACAAAAGGAAATAATGTTAAATTGGAGTTCACCAAGATTAAAAACTTTGCTCTGCAAAGTCCCCGCTTAATAAGATTAGAAGAAAATCTACGCGGTGGGAAATAAATGTTTGCAAACTCCGTCTGCAACAAAGGACTAGTAACTAGGATATTTAAATAACTCTCAAAACTCAAGAATTAAAGCTGAACAGCCCTAATAGAAAATGGAAAAACATATAAAAAGAGATTTTACTCCTGAAGGGAATATACAAATTGCAAATAAGCACAAGAGAAATTGTTTGATATTATTAACCAGTGGGAAAATGTAAACATCTTATCAAAATACGTAAAATGTTTAAAAAGCAACAACACTAAATGCTAATGAGGTTGCAGAGAAACTGGATCAATTGCACATTGCTGATGGAAATGTAAGATAGTACAACTAGTTGGAAAAGCAATTTGGCAGATTCTTAAAAACTAAATATGCAACTGTCATATAACCTAGGTATTTATGCCAGAGAAGTAAAACTTTTATTTCAGACAAAAGCGTGTGCATTTATAGTAGCTTTATTAATATAGTCATAAACTGAAAATGACCCAGAAATCCTTCATCAGTTAAGTTTTTAAAGAAACTGTGGTGCATAACATGAGATAATGCTCCTCCTTTCCAGTAAGGGATATAATGAGGACATGGTACTCGAGACAGAGCACCTCGCACAGACTCGGCGGGGACATTGGTGAGAATGCTCTCCCTCTGTTACGGAGAGTCTCCCCGTAACGCCTTTCCTAATCCCAGTGAGATCGCAAATTCACTGAAAGGAGGCACCATGTCTGTTTAGTTCCCATTCCCTTAGTGCTTAGCACTTAGTACGTGTAGCATTTATGAAGGATAATGTAAGAACAACTCATTTAAAGACAGAGAGATTTATACAGTCTGCAGCCTTTTAATACACACATAAGTGTGTGTGTGTGTGTGTATATATATATATTTAAGCTCAAAATTAATCACAAATTTAAATCTAAATTTAAATCTATGTATATACATGCACACAGATATATAAAAATATGTGTGTATATATACATACATATTTATTTGTATTTATATATTTAAATCTTTTTTTTCTCAAACTTTCTCTTCACTCCAAAAATTGACTGCCCCAGAAACCTTCACTTACTTAATAAGTAGCAGGCAAGGAGAGTTATTTTTTTACTCACCATGGCCTGCTAGATAGGCCAGTAAATGACAAGGCCCAGGAAATGTCTATCCTTTTGTCTCTGAAAGCATTCAGCATTCTACCACACAGGACCACACTGCACACATTTCTGGCTCCATTTTCCACTCAAGAACATGCTAAGATACTAAAAGGGGTCACAGAATGAATCAATTCTATAGGAAAATACTTAATATTTCTCAGAGCTTTATACAGAGAGCAAATGAAATAAAATGTTATATCTACCCATGGAACCTCCTTATAAACTATAAGAAAATAAACTTGAGAATCAGTCTTAATCCATAGAAGGTCAAGGACCCTTGCATTCACGTTTACGTGTTCTTTTACTCATATTTTGGTAAGTCCAGAGAGAAAATGTACCTGAAAAAGAGGTTGAGAAAAGCAGAATTCATCTTGTTGATATTCACCCCAATACTTTCATCTTTTGCTGCCCCTTCTCTTCACTGCCACAAATCCAAAAATCTTTTCTTTCTTCAACTAAGAGGGTAAATAATGGTCAAGTCAATCATGGAAAAGTTTTTACTGCAGAAAGCAAGCAAGCAAGAGAGAAAGAGGAAGGAAGGAAGGAAGGAGAAGAAGAAGAAGAGGAAGAGGAAGAGAAGGAAGGAAGGAAGCAAGGAAGAAGAAGAAGGGAAGGAAGGAAGCAAGGAAGAAGAAGAAGAAGAAGGGAAGGAAGGAAGGAAGGAAGGAAGGAAACACAATAGCAAAAAGGTAACATCTGGTTATCTTTCAGAATTTCCATCGTCACTTCATCAATTTTCTTCCCTATAAAAATGTAGTAGGCTGCAATTCAGGAACTGGTCTCTTATGACACAATTAGCTGTTTGTCTTGCAGCGCAAAATAGTGCTGCTATTAAGGCATCCATGGTCACTAGTCCAGGACTCAAGAAAGAAAGCAACACACTCTCAGCAGTGCAAACTGAGCCAGCCTGTGATTTGCAGCCAGTGGAAATGAGGTGATTTTCAGGGTGAGGACATAATGGCGTTTTTTTGGGGGGGAAAACATCTCAGCTCTTCAGATAAGAGAAAAAGAAACCAAACCTATCTAAAATATTTCCAACTTTGATCCACTTACACTTTAATGCATTCAGAATAACTCTGCTTGTTCAATAACGCTTGTTGACTTGCTGATGGAAGCGTTCTAAGGCCTTCAATTATATTCTCACTGCCTGTTTCTTTTACCTTTGATAGCCATATAATCACAGTCACAAATAGGATAAAGGTCTGAACAAAATATATATGCATGTCAAGCACTTTGCAAGGCTTAAATTATGCGTTCTTCACAGTTTAAAAACAAATAAGGAAATAAATGCATTAGCATTGCAGAGTAGAAATGCATATGAATGCAATTGATGGTAATTCTCAAAAAGACCTAAGGGAAATTGCTGAAATTTCAATTTTAGTATCCAGAACAAGGACCGCACAGTGGGTTGAGGAAGGCTGTTATTAACTTTGTCTTTTCAATTTTTCACACACGAGAAGGAGAAGCTGTGAAGAATCTCCGCTTGCCCTCTTCAGACGTAGGGTAAGTTCCTTTTTCTTGATGATTAAGCACTGTAATTACAGACTTTCCCCACATCTGTTCCTATATATTCCTGGACTCCAGATCTCACATCACTGTCAGTCTTTCCTGGTTGGTAGAGAAGAATACTTGACATTTCCTATTTTACAAATTTGAAATGTTTAAAATGAGGTCAGATAAAATTTGGTATTAAGTTAAAGAGCTCCTAATGCCCACTTGCCTATTGCAAGAGAGTCACTTTTTCCCATGGGGATTGTTAACCTGAGCGTGCCTAGAATCTGGGAGTGTGTATTTCCAAGAACTTGGAAATAAGATGGGCAGGTTGTAAAAGTCCAGCGTTCTCCACCATATGTGCCCTGACATCTGGCCGTCACGTCCCTGCCCCGCCTCTGCCTGCACACACACTATCTCTGTCTGCTGTGGGGACCAAGCAATTGTCACAGAGGAGAGAACAGGAGATCGCCTTTCCCTCACCCATGGTCTATAGGCCTGGCTCCCCAAGATATACTTTTTTAAAAAAATACTTGCATTTCTTTTTACACACAAGTGCTCACAACCGCACACAGACAACACTCCCCATGTCATGCCTATGGCCTGCTTGCTGCAGCTAGAATGAATCCTCTCCTAGGACTGTGAGTGGGGTCACCTCTTTCCCTGTGTCATCTCCGAGAGGCTCTGTGAATTTGTGCTCTAGGAGCACTGCTACTGCAGACACTACAGATGTGGGGAGTGAACAAACTAGCAGCTCACAACTCTCCTGCCCCCTGGACCCCCTGTGGAGGAACCTGGGCTGTCTGCTTGCAATAACTATGCGAGTCTCATAGCCTCCCAACCCACCCGTCTTATTTCCAAGTCCCAGGGAAATCCCTCCCCACCTAGTTTTCTGCCACAAGAATGATTTATACTAAGAATGTCCATCATCTTCTCTGCATAGAGACGACCTGCAGACTCTTGGTCACCCCTGTGTACTCCAAGCTGCAGCAGTGACCGTGGTTTGCCCAGGGCCACATCCTTGACATGTGCAGGTGCAGTCTCTGCAGGAGGCCACAGCTTTGTGCCAAAAGCCCACAGAGTGTGGAGGCTAGGCTGGTGGCATCACTCCTACCCCTTGTCACACTGCGGCTAGCTTGGGGCAGAGTCGATATGTGAAACCAGGCTTCCTCTGGGTTCTGAACAATTTGTAAAATAAGAGGAGGGAAAAGGTACAGACCAAGATGTCCCCTTCCCTGTCGATACAGGCCAGGGTGGCAGCAGCTTGCTGTGAGAGCCTCAGGACTTAGCTGAGCTGCAGCTTCAGACTTTGGCTGACCTATTCACCCATCACAGAGATGGCCACCAAGGCAGGCACATGTGGACACTACCAATGCAGCTGGCAGCATAGAGCCGCTAGGGAAATCCTTCGTCCTTTGAAGGCACTCCCAAGAGGATCCACAGCAGAGCTGAGATGAACAGCCCTAGGCTTTCTTCTGCATCTTCTACTAGAGACATCTCAACCCCTTCTCAATGCTAAACGTAAGCCAAGGCAAGGAGGAAGGCTTGCATGCTAAGGGTGAGCTTGTCACCTGAAGTAGCCCAGAGTGGGGAGGAGGTGTCCCATCTACCCACTCCTGTGTAAAGTAGCCATATGAAAACTGGCCCAGGACAACAGGTGATTTAATTGTTCACAATTTAGTAGCTCAGAAATTGAGGTTGGGTCAGCTGGGTGGTTCTTCTGCTCAACTTGCCTGGAGTAACTCATGCCAATGGTTGTCCAGTGGTTCGCCACAGCTGGGTGGACACATAGAGCCTCACTGTGGTGTCTGATGGGGATGCTGGCTGTCAGCTGGGTCACGTGGGTCCTGCTCGATCAGGCATCTGCCGAAAGCCAGCTCAGACATGTTCACTCGGCTATTTCATGGCAGCAAGAGAGGAAGCCTAGAAGTTCAGAGCCTCCTAAAGCTTACAGTCCAAAGTCTCAAACCATCAAAGCAAGTCCTAAGGCCAGCCCAGACCTGTGAAGGTGAAGAGACAGACTCTGCCTGTTGACGGGAGGAGCAGCAACATCACATGTGGTCAGGCACACACACGGGACGGGAGGGCTGTGGCCCCATCCTGTGCCTGGACCACAGAGCACTTGTGGCCAGCTCAAGGCAAATGTAAGTGTGTTTGTTCCATGGCACAGGAAAGACAGGAGAAGGAAACTGGAGACAAAGAAACACCCTGGAAGTACTCCTAGATGGCCATGTCCAGTGTGTGGACAGTTAACAGACCCCACAAGGGCTTTGTACAAGGAGCAACACCCAACTCTCAGAGCCCCTGGAAATATAAATTTGTGTCACCTCGATGGATCAAGAAACCTGACAATCTAAATAGCTACTTGAGAACAAAGAGAACACTGACTCTTACTGGGAAAGAAATATTATAAAGACTCTCATGATCTGAGGATGAGTCATAAAAATTGAGATTTCAATTCATTTACTTTCATGCATCATTGTGTGTGTGTGCATGTGTGTGCACGTGTGCTTAAACTAGTTTGCCATACTTATTTCTGCGTCTTTCCTGCCATTTTATATAGCATATGTGGGAGATAATTACATTTATAATCTAGTCTGTGAGTTTCATAATATTAAAAAAAAGATTCTGACAGTACTCAAGGATAGATAGCTAGTCCCTAGAGACCTGATACTGTGCACATCAACTTACAACACATTGAGTTGTCTCTCCTTGTAGACAGGAAAAAGGAGTGTTCAGTGGATAAGAGAGGACAGTATTAGTTCTGGTGTAAGCAGCTGTTTTGAACTTTAACTTTGGAAAAAAGAATGGCTGAATGTTAAGCAGAAGTGGAATCTGTGTAGCACTGACCATCAAGCACACGAGTGTGCACATTCCTTCCTGTCGAGGAGACCTCTTAAGGTAGATGAGGAGTATGGTCCACCTACTAGGGCGCCATAGCGAGGGCCTTTCTTCTCCCTATACCTTGGCGTAACAACATGGGCTCATAGCCTGAATAAGCTGCTAAGACGTGTGTTCTGTTACCTCGAGTGTGAGGGGTTATAAAGGCATAGGGCTGACTTGCTATGCCTTCTGAGGAGTTGAAATCCATGGTGATGAGCGCCCAGAAGAGCATGAAAACAGCTCAGCCATGAGCGGTAGCAAGACCCCAGCTGGCCTTGACAATACTTTCGTTTTATGCCTAAAGTATTTAGAGTTGGTTTTGGTTATTTACAACAAAACATAGGGCACAAAGACAAAGACACAGCAATCAATTCTGAGCTTCACACGTGAGATAGGGATCAAGGAAGCGTAAAAACAAAGAACATGGCAAATGCGTGCAACCGGTGGAAATTACTTGTTTTGTTGCTCTTACTCAGTTCTGAAATCAGCAGTAGGATCCAAAACTTTTTGTATTAAGTATTCACATCCTGATAGCCACTTGTGCTTTATTTGCCTTTATTGCTCCAGAGACATACAAGGGTAAAACAACAGAAGAAGATATGTAAATTAACCTTTGGTTAAAAATTTATCATTAAGAAGAGAAAAATTACATTTTCTATGAAGATATATATTGTCAACGTGTGCATGTTTATATATGATTATACTTAAATTAGGTAAATATTTTGAAAATAAGACATTTATTTTATTTTCAATAATTGTGGTAAGAATAATGAAAATCAATTATAAGAAGTTTTCTGCTAACATGTAAATGAGAGATTATAATTGAAAATCTTGATTAAAAAGTATCACTTATTTTTCCATAGAATTTTTGAATAGCATCATAAAATCCTCTAGGAATTCTCAGAGAACAACCCTGTTACAAAAAGCCTGTTTATGTTTTACCCTTTCTACATTTTAAGTGATTCATTCTTGCAAAGCATGCCTTTACTGCAGTTCATTAATTTTTAGAATCTATAGGTTTGTAGAACTCAATTTCCTTAATCATGCATGTAAAATTAATTATTAGAATTTTTTATTTTGCTGATTTCAGCAACTTTGTGAAACTACACAACATAGCCCTCAGCCAAATATGTGGCATCTAGCAGAAAAGGGAAAAATGATTCTTATTCTTTCTTAAAATGAATTTTCTGTTTCAATAACTTGTATTCATATCATTAGGGAAAACATATTACTTTATTTTCTTTTGTTCATATTTTCAGCAGCAAATTGGAAATAACATTTGGACCCATTCTCAAATATGTAACTATATCATGAGTGATGTAATTGAGTTTTCTAAGAACCTAGGCCTTACAGGTATATGCACTTTAGTTGAAGATAATTTTAAGTAAATCAAGCAATTGTATTAGTCATTCCGTTTCCCATTAAACACAAAATTTTAGAAAATATAATATAGAAATTATCACAAAAGCACTGTAACACAGAAAAATAAAATGTTACTTGGATCCAGGTGTAGTCCTAATTTCTCCACCCAAGGACTAATTACATAAAATTCTAGTATGTATGATTTGGAGATTTTTATTTCACTTAATACTCTTTTTTTAAGAAACTGTTACTTTGGGTACAAACGCTATAGAGAAAAAATGTGAATGACAAGGCAGCCCCAGAGGTTTTGTGTGAAATCCCTGTGTAATCTCAGCAGCGTGTGGAAGAGCCTTCTAAGCATTAGACGAGGCAAAGCGCATTTCTGTGTCTTGACCCGAGTCTTTGCCAACAAATGTAAGCTAAAGTCTCCGCAGCCCACGCGTCTGCACTCCACAGCTCCAAAGATGGGAGGGTACCCACTGCCTTCTCCTGAGACCTCCTCTTCTGTGACCAGGAGGAAAGGAACCAAGTCCTGGGCTTGAACCAGGCCTCAGTTCCCCTGACGAAAAGTGAAGAGTGCCTTTTATCTCACCTTCCAACCTGAGTGAGCTTTGTACAAATCAGTGTAAGATTGGTGTGTGCTTGTTTCTGTAACCAGAGGGTCCTGTGTATCCTTATCTTTTTCTCTCTTAAAACTTTTATAAAGATATCTTAGAGAGAAGCCTTTTTTGTAATGTGTACTCTCTTGCACTCCATGCATCAGAGCTGGGAATATAGAAATTCAAGAAAAACAAGGAAAGACTCCACGGGATTTTAAATTTTAATTTTGTTAATTTTTAAAAGCCACTGAGAAAGTTTGTATATTGTCTCTTCTAAATCTCATGTTGAATTGTCATCCTCAGTGCTGGAGGTGGGGCCTGGTGTGTGGCCTTCTGGTCATAGGGGTGGATCCCCCTGGCTTGGTGCTGTCCTCACAGCAGTGAGTTCTCGTGAGATCTGGTCCTTCGAAAGTGTGTGGCACCTCCCCCTCTGTCTCCCACTCCTGGCTCTCCCTTTGTGGGATGTCAGCTCCCACTTCACCTTCAGTCATGATTTTATGCTCTCTGTGGCATCCCCAGAAGCTGAGCAGATGCTGCCTCCATGCTTCCTGTACAACCTGCAAAAATGAGGCAATTAAACTTCTTTTCTTCATGAATTACCCAGTCTTAGATATTCCTTTACAGCAACACAAGAATGGCCTACTACAGCCACCTAAGATTTCCTGCCTTCCCTTCACCTGAACGCACAGGGGCAAGGTCTGGAGAAGATTCCAAATCCTTCCCGATCCTTGCCTGCTGCTATTTCTCTCTGCTCACCTGGAGGAGCTCCCAGTCTGATAAGATCAGGACTTGGTTTTCTGGGAATGATGGAAACAAGAGGACCCTATAACTTCACTCTATTTCCTTCACTGAATTGTCTAGAAAGGCAATTTCCAGATTTTTTTTTAAAGGGGGGAAAATGTAAGATCTGACTTGTAATTGTGTTCAGGGGATTTTTGTTAGAATCTCATTGATTCTGCATCTAATTTAAAGCTGGAGTATCTGGAAAGGCTTGACCCTTGACCTTTATCCCATCCTAAATTCTTCATGAGTTTAAATTTCTCTGAATCTTACACTTAGCCACATAGCCTAAACCAAAATAATGTGAAATACTATAGACCACACCAATGCTCCAACTGAACTCTGAAATGACAGAGTTGCTGAGTCAGCTGTCCACTGAACTTGTGCATTTATTAGGACATTGAATTTTTTTTCTTAAATATTATAAATAAATGCTAAAGTTCTTCACCTAGCTGAGTGTGGTGGCTTACATCTGTAATTCCAGCACTTTATAAGGCCAAGCAAGGCATGAGGATCGCTTGAGCCCAGGAGTTTGATACTAGCCTGGGCAACATAAGAAGACCCAGACTCTACAAACAATTTAAAAATTAGCTGGGCATGGTGGCACATGCCTGTGGGCTACTCGGAAGGCTGAGGCAGGAGAGCCACTTGAGCCCAATTCAAGGCTGCAGTGAGCTATGACTACATCCCTGCACTCCAGCTTGGGCAACAGAGTGAGACTCTGTCTTTGAAAAAAAAAAAAAAGAAGAAGAAGAAAAGAAAAAAGGAAAGCAATGATGTCATAGGCTAGAGATGACACCAAGATGGTAGACCTCAGCCCGAGTTGTCATGAAAGAGAGAGCTGAGGCTCCCACGGCAGAAACTTAAGAAGGTTTGAGAAGCAAGGACTAGCAGTAATCACAAAATTAGAAGACAGTGAATATTTGAACAGGACACACTATTTTGCATATTTTTCGTGCCATAAAATAGAATTTCTAGCATCCTTCATCAACTGTGATATGACAAGAACTGAGAAGAGTCTGAGATTGTACCCTACTTGAAAGATAATAAATTAGCTTGCTACAGTTTCGTGGATGCTGGCAAAAAGACAGGAATGAGAGTCCTGGGTCAGAGATAAAGGACAATTTGTTGTTCACAACAGTAGACCGTGGCAGAGCATCAGTGTTGGTTTTAATGTTAGTTCCCTGAGCCTGGTTCCCACAAGGAGAGTAGAAGGGGACCAAAGGACACTTGTACCCACATCAGATTGTCTCACTGTAGAGAAGCCCCAAGTTTAGGGACCCTCAACCTTTTAAAATGAACAGTAAGCATGGCTGGCCTTTGCTCCAGATGGAAACTTTATTTGGCTGCACAGTATGTAAGCTTCGCTTTACTCCAGAAGTGGACACTATCACCATTTTCCAAAGCTGTTTACTAAACAGTCATCCTCGAAAAGATAGTCCAGACCAAAGGGAAGTCAGTGCCTTTGCAAAACATGCAGAAACACAAGAGCCTCATGGAGTACTGTCTCCCTCCCTGGAGGAAGAAAATGTATACACAGGTCCACCCATCCAATGCACTTTTTTTTTTTTTGAGACAGAGTCTCTCTCTGTCCTCAGGCTACAATGCAGTGGCATGATCTCAGCTCACTGCAACCTTCGCCTCCTTGGCTCAAGTGATTCTCTGGCCTCAGCCTCCCGAGTAACTGGGATTACAGGTTCCTGCCACCACGCTGGGCTAACTTTTTCTGTTTTTAATACAGATGGGGTTTCGCCATGTTGGCCAGGCTGGTCTCGAACTCCTGACCTCAGGAGATCCACTCCCCTCAGCCACCCAAAGTGCTGGGATTAGAGGCGTGAACCATGGCACCTGGCCCAAATGCACATTTATTAACCACTTGCAATGAGTCACGAGCCCTGCTGAGCATCAGGTGCACAGTGGGGACAAGACAGACATAGTCCAGTGTCATGAACGGTGAGGATGGTGGGAGGTAAGCTGAAGCTAATTAAATTCTGCCAATTATTACTCACTGTGTTCATAGTATTTTGTGTTATATTTTATTAGTTTAAGGACGTAAATAATAAACTACTTCTAAAGGATTTAATGAGCTTACTGATATATTCTGTTATCCAATTCTATTTGCCTGATAATATGCGGATTTTCTCAAAAGAAAATCTTCCTACCATATGTATTTCAGGACCACCATCTTCCAGATTTTGAAGGGAGTATGCTACTTGAGTTTATTTCATAGTGTCTTCTGCCATAGATCTCTAATTCATAATTCAGAGAGTTTAAAACTGTGTCTGTTGTTACCAAGCTATTTTGGTCCTTACTTGAATGCTTACTGCATAAGCCCACTCAAATTAGTAGACATAAAAAGATCTAGCACTTACAGAAGTTTACAAAGTGTGTCTCCTATGTCTTTGCAACAATCTTAGAGAGATGATTATATTTATTTTTCTATTATAGGTACCTACACTCAAAACATAGAACAATTATACTGCCTGACCATTATTCCTGAGTTCAATTTGATCATAAAGGTTACATAAGTGATTGAAAATAACACAACTTTCTCTTCATGTTTTCCAAAAATGCCATCATACCATTATAGCAATACTATTTTATTTTCTAAATTGGATGCAGTTTTCTTAACTATTATGTAAAAATACTAGGGAAATATTTCAATACACATTATATATTTAAACAATTCAGATACATTTGATTTTCTTTCATATTAACACGGGTTGAGGAACACTGACTAGTGAGGCTTCTACCCACATCTAAGAACCTAGCAGGCCAAATAAATAGTTTTTAGGTTTTAGGTTTTATTATTCTTAACAATTTGAGTGCACAATAAACTTTTTCAATGAAAGAACAAAATACCAGATAAGTGTAAAACAGAGTTCCCACGTATAGCTATATTAATATTCTCTCTGAATTACTTTATATACTTTATATAACTTTGTTATATGAAAAATGTTTAATGGGCCCCATCTTACAGTAGGAGGAAAAGCACTTGCCACTTTTCCTCCAAGTGACAAGAAGCAATTTTGAAACATCAAAGACAGAAAGCCAAGTGTAGATGTTTTCTTCTGCTGGAAGCTTCCAGTCCAAGCACATAGTTAATCAGGTGCATGTTGATTTCAGGGCACTGGGTCATATTCGCGCTACCTCCTCGTCTTCCCTTCCCACTTTGAGTTTACGGATTGATTTTACACATGTGTAGCAGATGAGGTCCTGGCAGGAAAAGACAGAGCATTCGAACTGAATAGCAAAGGATAGTTAATAAAATGAAAATTTACCAAGATTGGACAAGTTTAGGAAAACATGGATGATGCAGAAAACCAGGACTAGTAAATATCCAAGGCCATGAGGACCCAAGGCCCACGAGAGGAGGGGAAGAAGGCAGCTACCAGGACCTGAGGGAAGGAGACATGCAGCTGGGGGGCACTGGCACAGCCACAGTCTTAGTGGGAGGGCGCTGGCCTGACCCTGCTGACCTCTGCTGTCCCGCAGCCCCCTCGTGGCCCACCTTGAGCCAGAGGCCCATCCACAGAGATAGGCTCCCAGGGCACAGAGCCAGGGGAGAAGGGTGGGCCATGAGCCCAGGGGGTGCAAGGGGCCCGCATCGCACCTTGGGTCCTCCGTCATCCCTTGAGGTGGGAGCTGGGCGGGCCGCTCACTGGACAGATGGATCCACCAACACAGGGTCTGCGATACCAGGCAGAGGCCGCTGGCTTAAGGAACTGGGCACAGAGCCGAAAACCAAGTGCAGTTCAGGAGCCTACACCCAGCTCTGAGGCTGGAGAGGGGCAGGGACGTGACTTCAGACCCGGGAGCTGGGGATGCATTTTGCCTGCAGTTTGCCTCCCAAGGGCATATCACGATATTATGGGGCAGAGTGGAGCTGTCTTCACAGGCTTGCACAAATCAGTGAAGAAGGCTGGTTGGAAAGAGAGGGTGAGAAGCAAGGGGGGGACAGCTCTGGGGAGTGAAGCAGGAAGGTCAGCCCCACCGGCTCACCCCTCCCTGTTGGATCCCCTTCAAGTCAAACCTGAGATCTTGAGCTGGACACACACTGGAGGTAAATGGGGTGTGCAGGAAACACTGATGCCCCGGCCCCACCCTGAGACTCCGCTTTCATTTGTCTGATGATTGCAATATTCAGTGAAAACACTGATGCCCCTGCCCGTGCCCTGAGACTCTACTTCCATTTGTCTGATGATTGTAATATCCAGTGAGGGTGAGAACCAGGGACACGGCTCTTGGGTTGGTCTGCAGCCCCACCCTGACTTGGGGTGTGAAGGTTTGAGCAGCTCTGGCCAGAGCCGGTGCAGTCCTCACACACCAGCCACACTTTCCCAAGCCATCACTCGGAGGTGATAACTCATCGTCAAAGTTTCCCACTAATTCAGACCCTGCCTTAAAATCCTCATCCACACAGACCCAGTACTTACAAACCTATGGGATCAGCGAGACCAGTCTGTGATCTTACTGCTGTGTTAACTCCTAATCCTCCATTCCATCCCCTTTCCATGCCGAGTCACCCTCGTCACACAGCGTGGATACAGGAATGCTCTTTCTTGGGGAAACTGACAAGACAGGATCATCAAGGAGAGGTGGAGGTGCTCCGATTCTCTGGTGCTCCCTCAGATAAGCATGTCCGTTTGGTGTCGTCCACACAGGCAGCTGCAAGGCAGGGCAGGAAGAGTTGCAGAGACATTCCCAACCCAGCTCGAGGTGAGATTTGCAGCCAAGAAGGCCCAGGTCCAAGAGGCGAAACAGCGTCACTGAGCCAGGAACCAAAACAAAACAAAGCAGTGATTCTTTCCAAATTTGCCAGCAGGATAAGTTCAAATAGAGAGAATTTTCTTACTCCTAGGGGAGATGTTTAAGGGAATTCCTCCCCATGGAAACCATGAAAGAAAGAAAACATCTTTCTCTAACAATAAATTTCTCAATTATCTTATGTAGATGTATGTAACTTGGCAATTGAGGGAATGTTAGTGATTCAACCAAATGATGCCAAAATCCCAGAAGAGTTGTCAGAGAACAGTGTCCAAGTGGACTTGAATAAGCCACGCCCTCAGGACAATGGGTGGAAATGCCCCAAATGCCACCAAGAGGCTTTCGTTGAGAATCCAATGAGGTTTGACTCACCTAGTAGTTACACTTCTAGGAAATGTTCCAAAGAAAAACATTCAAAAGTGTGCAAAGCAGCTTACACAAAGAAAAGTTCGTCAAAAAGCTGTTTATTCATGCAGTCAGATAGAAGGAGTAAGTTCTAGTGTTTGAGAGCACTGTAAGGTGACAATAGCTAATAATAACTTATTGCATATTTCAAAATAGCTAGAAGACTTGAAATGTTCACAACACAAAGAAAAGATAAATATTTGAGGTGACGGATGTCTAGACACCCTGATTTAATAATTACACATTGAGTACATTCATCAAAATGTCACATGCACCCCATAAATATGTACAATTATTAAGTAGATCAAAAAATACTTTTTATTATATTAAAACAGGAGAATGAAATGGGGAACTGAGTAAGTCAAATAGTGAAATAGGGAATTGTACCTTAGAATAGGATGCTGTTTTCAAATGGGTTAATACATGTGTGCATTTATGTATCAAAACCACGTAGGTCACAAAGCCAGTTTTGTTAAAAACCAATTATTTCTGGTATGTGGCAGATTGAGCGCTCACTCAATAGCCACGTACCCACCAGCAGGCCCTAGTCCTTTTGCACAAAGACAGAGCTGGGATAGTGCCAGCCAGCAAGCTGGGAACTGAAGGAACACAGCGAGAATCTCATTGCTTCTTCCATTCCACTGCTGCTGTCAGAGGCTGCAGGTGGAGGTGGCAGAAGGTCAGGAAGGAAGCAGCCTGGGTCCCCAGGTTGCCTCCGGCAGAGCAGCACTGTCGGGAATCACAGGACACTCTGGGAGGGAGAAGCACTGACCCAGCACAGTGTGAAGTCACTGAGATTTCAAGGAGAATTTATCCCCATCACACAATCCAGTCCCTCTTTATATGGAGAGTATATAAATATATGTATAAAAATTTATTGCTGATAGTTATCTCTGAGGGGTAGAATTACAGATTTTTTAGGTTCTTCTCTACTTTTATGCATTTTACATTTAAAAACTAATGCACATGACATCGTATGGATATAAATGCAGTATGTATATTTTTAAATGCATTTGATTGTTGAATTCAAGGTAAAAAGGCCCTCGGGAATGGCCATGTGAGAGGATCTCAATAAACATGTGAAAAACACCAAAGAATTGATAAATTATTCAGTTTACACACAGGAGAAATGTAGACACAGTTAAAAGACAAGTATTTTCTAACGGCATGCTGTTTCTCTTCAAAAGGAGTTTTCTAGGAATCACAAAAACGTTGCCAACTTTTCTCATCCATTCCAGCTGTAACTGATTTGAGACGCTCAGATTTTGATTGGTGGTTCAAAGATTCATAGCATCAATTTGTAATTTTATTGCCACACAAAGGCAATAAAATTCTTGGAAATTTTTAAAACATTCAGCATTTTAACTGTGAACAGATATAAACACAAGTAATATTTTCAAATTGTATTACATATCATTGACGTGAGGTCACTCTGCTAACGGATATGATATGAAATACGTATGCAACATTATACTTTAATCTAGACATACCTAGCTAGCTTCTGTAATGAACTGTACACACCCCCTCCAACTTGAGATCTTACTTATGGTGAAAATCATAAAACTCTTTTCCCTCAGTGTCAGTAATTAACCATGTAGAAGTTCTTTATGAATATCTGCTGCAGAGAAGAAACATTAGGCGATTGCGAGTCTGCCTTTTACAAACTGCTAGTACTGTGTATGACAATAATGTTGATCACCTGATCAAAGGTAAAAAATGTGTATCTAAGATCGTAATGAGTGAATACATACAAAATTTAGGACGGACAGTTATGTAGGAAGGATACACAGTTTTTACATCAGGAACCAATGATTTCAATTTGGAATTAAGGGTAGTCTTCACTTAGCCACATGAAAACATAGACTTGGTTTCTTTTCCCCCTTGGGGGATAGAATCAATGGTAGCATTCATTAGAAAAAGAGCAATTTAGAGTTAAAGATCGAGTTTGGAATAACTTCTGCACTATTTACTGTTGGTGTGAAACTCAACCAGAGGTTGCACATTCCTTTGAGATGAGGTTAGAGAAGATGCCGTTCTGGTGTAATCCACTGGAGAGTGGCAGGCACTGGGGAACCACGTGTGGAAGACACGGGAATTCAAATTTAAAGTATGAAAATACAGCTCAGACTTAAAGACTGCAAATCCAAGACTACAAAGTGATGTTTAGGTTTTAACTTACCTAAGTTAACTTACCTAAGTAGACTTACCCAGAGCCACCTTACTCTGCTTTAAGAGAGGAAGAGAAACAAGTTGTTGGTTAAACAAAATATCATAGTAACTTCATATGAAAAAAATGTGATAGTGCCATATGCACTCATAGAAATGATTTACAAGATATATTGCGAATCAGGAAACATACATATCCACGTAGATTTAGCCCATACACATTTGTCTGAATGTAGTCTATGGTAAATCCTTATAATGCTGGTCACCCATAAGTAGGAATTGGAAGAACAGTTAAAAAGTGAAAAAGTTATCTTTTCTGCTCCTCTCCCTTCTTCCACCCTCAAGTAGAACCCAATGTCTGCTGTTTCCTTTTTGTGTTCATGAGTTCTCATGATTTAGCTCCCACTTATAAGTGAAAGCATGTGGTAATTGGTTTTCTGTTTCTGAATTAGTCTGCTAAGGATGATGGCCTCTAGCTCCATCCGTGTTCCCACAAAAGACAGGATCTCATTCTTTTTATGGCTGCATAGTATTCCATGGTGTGTATGTACCGCATTTTTTTTATCCAATCTGTCATTAATGGGCATTTAGGTTGATTTCATGTCTTTGCTCTTGTGAATGGTACTACAATGAACATTCATGTGCATGTGTATTTATAATAGAATGATTTATATTTCTCTGGATATATAGCCAGTAATTGGATTGCTGGGTCCAATGGTAGTTCACCTTTTAGCTCTTTGAGGAATCACCATACTGTTTTCCACAATGATTCAATTAATTTACACCCCCACCAATAATGTATAAAATGTTCCCTTTTCTCTGTAACCTTGCCACTATCTGTTATTTTATGACCTTTTATTAATAGCCAGTCTGACTAGTGTGAGATGGTATCTCATTGTGGTTTTGATTTGCATTTCTCCAATGATCAGTGATATTGAGCTTTTTTACTTAATATGTTTGTTGGCTGCATGTATGTCTTGTTTTGAAAAATGTTTTTTCATGTCCTTTGCCCACTTTTTTAATGGGGTTGCTTGTTTTTCTCTTTTAAATTTGTTTAAGTCCCTTATAAATGCTGGATATTATGACTTTTTTCAGTATATTAATTAACTTAAAAAATAAAAGGAAAGCCTACAGGAAAAAAACAGCCACTCATCTGTCTTCAGTCTGAGTCAATCACATCCATGAGTTTAATTCAGACCATGAGCCACCAATTCACATACCTGAATTCTTTTCTAAATCTCAATATATTTGTTTTTTACATGGGCAGCCATTCCTTGCTTACCTGATAGTATTATTTCTTAATCAAATATAAATAATGTGCAATAGATAGAAAACACTTTTAAAGTGTAAATAATTATGTATTTGCAAAAGATAAGGGTGTGTCATCTGCAACAGCAACAATGTTACCCTGACCTAGCTCCCTGATCTAACTCTGGAAAACAGACAATACATGTGACACTTTCTACTTCGAGACTTTAGCATTAGTGAATGCGGGACATAAATATGGCACAGAAATAGAAAACCCGAGAAGCTACAAAGCCTACAGTGTCTTTAACTTGGGGGGTCCTCGCGTGTTGTCTTCAGTTTCTGGATTTCTTGCTGAGAAGTTAGTAGGAATCCCTGCTGAGCTCTTTCTCTTTGATTTTTATTACTGAGATTGAAGCTTTTATTCACACAGGCAGATATGATAAAAAAAATTACTGAAGAAGTGAGCAGTGAATGAGCAGATTGACGGGTCCTCCCCATCCTTCTGTTCCCTGTGGTCAGTTGGTCTCAGAAGCCCCTCTCTCTATGAGGACAACCACCCAAGCAAGCTGCCCACAGGAGGCAAAACCCTTGTGGATGATAGGGATCAATACTGTCTCACCAGCTGTCACTCAGTCACAGGACTCTGTCAAGATCCTCCAGCTGGATGCTCGTTCCAAAAGCTCCGTGTCTCACCCAGAGTCTTCCGCTTTGGCATCATGGAATGAGTGAAGAAATAGAGCAGCTACCAATGCATGTTCTTTTTGGTGTTGTTGTTGTTGTTTGTTTGTTTGTTTTTCTTGAGACAGGGTCTTGCTGTGTCACCCAGGCTGGAGTGCAATGGCGCAATCACGGCTCACTGCAGCCTCCACCTGCCAGGCTCAGGTGATCCTGCCACCTCAGCCTCCCTGAGTAGCTGGGAGTACAGGTGTGTGCTACCATGCTTGGCTAATTTTTTGTGTGTTTTTTTCTTTTTCATTTCTTTCTTTTTTTTTTTCAAATGGAATCTCACTCTGTCATGCCCAGGCTGGAGTGCAATGGCATGATCTTGGCTCACTGCAGCTCCACCTCTTGGGTTCAAGCGATTCTCCTGCCTCAGCCTCCCGAGTAGCTGGGACTACAGGATTGCATCACCATGCGCAGCTAATTTTTGTATTTTTAGTAGAGACGGGGTTTCACCATGTTGGCCAGGCTGGTCTCGAACTCCTGACCTAAGGTGATCCACCTGCCTTGGCCTCCCAAAGTGCTAGAATTACAGGCATGAGCCACCATGCCCAGCCATTTTTTTTGTGTTTTTTTGTAGAGACAAGGTCTTGCCATGTTGCTGAGGCTGGCCTTGAATTCAAACAGTCCATCTGCCTCTGCCTCCCAATGTGCTGGGATGACAGGTGTGAGCCCCGCACCTCGCCCCAGCGCATCTCCTACTAAGTTCTGTAGATCACAATGAGCTCTTAGTCAAAGAAAGTTTGGAAGAGGACAATACAAGAAGTAATAATACTACAAAGATTTACACATTTTTCTCAGTTCCACGTCCCACATTTCTTAATGCCAAGACCCCACAGCAGACACAACTCTGTGTGTCTAGATGCAACATGGGAAATAGAAATCATATGAAGTTATGGAAAAAATCCCAATCAGGAATTTCGGTCAGAGGTCTGATCACGTTTCTGTCACTGAATTCCGAAGGGGGTGGTTAATTTCCTCTTCTGTAAACTAAGAGGTTTAGAATAACAGGATCTCTTTTCTTCCTTCTCACTTCTGTTATCCTCTGTCAGACTCTGTTTTAATTTCTAATATTCTAAATTCACTTCCACCTTTCTATACCCCAATACGTTCTATTGTAATATCTTGATACTAATTCATATTTCAAAATATCCCATATATCGGATCATTCCTTTAGAAATAATATTAAAAATCTGTGACACCACCACGATCTCTGATGATACCAACAGATGTTTTGAACAGGGTTGGCAAATGAATTCCTGTGGCCCAAATCCAGCTCTCTGGCTGCTTTGACACCACAAGGACAGCTGACTAGTGTTGATGAAGATCTTAAGGCCAACAAAGGCTGAAATATTTAGGATCTGGCCCTTTCCAAAAATGTGTGCCAACCCCTGTTTTAAATGATCAGGGCATCAGTGTTACTTTGTCTTCTCTAGGGCTGATGCTATGAGTTTAAATTGATCTCACCTGTTTGAGAATTGGCAAACCTCATTCTGAATGCGGAGGTCTGGAGTTCAGTGATTACCCAAAAGAGACCAACACAGCTGAAAAGCTTGTGCTCAAAGGTCCAGCTTAGAGTTTCCTATTCCTAGCTGCATGGGTAAATAGCTTTATTCTCCTGTGTCTCGATTCTCTGACCTGGAAAATGGGTGTCATAGCCACACCACCTTGTAGGATTCTTTTGAGAATCATATAGAATAATGTATACACATCTATAGCACAGTGTGAGGCACACAGTAGAGGTTTAAAGTTGTTAGTTTATTTCTCATTACACACACACACACACACACACACTGCACATGCCACCTATTTAAACAGAAAGTGAATAATCTCCCAATCACATAGGATTATGACATTAAGAAAGCAAATGTACACTCTTTTTTTGAGAGTCTCAGGAACAAGTCTGTCCTGGCTTTGTTATCAGTATATCACCCCTGAGTCAGATGAGTTTCGGTACAAGAGAAATCAAGAAGTAAAACTAAAGAAAAAAATTAGACAGAAATTAATGCAAAAATATGTGTAAAGACAAGACAGAAAATATTGTTGTCTAGTACTATTTTACATTAGGCTAGAAAATAAGTTAAGAATTTAAAGAAGCAAATTGTACAGAAAGTCTCATTATTTTATAGTGACATGGCATTCTCTACCTAATGAGCAATTGCATTTGATTCTTCACAGCAAAAAGTACAGTAATTGAAATGGAAAGACTTCAAATATAAGATAAATTCTGCATGTTGATTCTTGTAAAAGTAGTAATATTTTTCTTGTTGTATACACTGAAGATATACATTCTAAGACAATAAAAGAGGAAAAAACCTAAAGAACTTTTAAAAAACACTTTTAGGAATGCTAAAGACGTGCCTTGCTTTTGGCTTCATTTATTTTTATTCTTTAAAACAAGGTTTTTTTTTTATTTTCAAATATGACATAGTCATTGTTCAGCCACACCCAAGCACAGTACCATTTGTTGTCAACCATATCATCAATTTCATTTTAATCTTCCCTGAGTACTGAAGTAAAACATGCTGAGCCGTAGCTTTCCTTTGCTGTGGCAGGAGAAAATTTACTAAGCACTGTTGCCCTTTTTCCTGTCAGTTTTCAGACCCACCTTCCCTCGAGAGCAAACCCCTCTGCAGTCAGGAGGCAGCTCTGTGTCTGGGAAGCAGGGTATGTCACAGTGTGTGCACCATTGATTAACCACGAAAACAGTAATGGAACTGCCATTGATCCCTGAAATGGCTCCTCCGAAATCCGTTAGGACATCCAGAGGGTCACTACTCATGTTCCGTGGCAAGGATAAGCTTCAAGCTCTCTGACTGCTTGCTAACTGCCATCTGCAATAAACTGCTTACCTTTGCATTACCACCTGAACAATTGCCTGCCAGAGTGGAGTGTATGGAAAATAGATAAAGAAGCTTCCAGACTTTACAACTGCAGGAAGAATCATTTGCACGACTGGGTTTGAGAATTTTCAGTCTGGAAAATAACTGTCCTGTACGTCAGAAAGTATAAAGTGACTCCATTTCAAAGTTCCAGAGTCGAACAATAAAATATCTGGCTACTCTTATATGACATTTAATTTTTCAAAGTACTTTCATATTTTCATTACTTGCTTATTTCTCAGGAGTGCATATAAGGGTTACTCCTAAAAATGAAGAAAATCATGATGAAACCATGACTAAAAAATATTAAATGACTATGTAAGTGTTACTAAAGGCAAGACTCTGAGTCAGCTCCCAAGCCTCCCACCCACTCATCTGTTTATCCACCTGCCCACCCACATACCCACTCATGCACCCATCAATCCACTCATCCATCCATCCGTCCATCCATCCATCCATCCATCCATTCATCCATCCATCCATCCACTCACCCATCCATTCTTCCATCTATCCATCCATCCACTCACCCATTCATCATCCATCTTCTCATCCAAACACCCATCCACTCATCCATCCATCCATCCATCCACTCATCCATCTATCCATCCATGTTTCCATCCATCCAGCCACTCATCCATCCATCCATCCTTTCATCCATCCATCCATCCCTCCATCCATCCACTCATCCAACCTTCCATCCATCCATCCATTCACCCACCTGTCCATCTATCCACCCATCCTTCCACCTGTTGCTCCATCCATCCATCCATTCGCCCATCTGTCCATGTATCCACCCATCCTTCCACCTGTCCCTCCATCCATTCATCCACCTATGTATCCATCCAACCATCCCAGCAAGGTTCTTGCCACTGAGTCACTGAAAGATACAGTGATGTGTATAGTTTTTATTGTCCTATTATTTCAATCAAATTCAGGGAGTCTAACAAGAGAAAAACTTATGCATGATCTATGAAAATTCAGAAAAATGCTCATCTATACAAAAATGTGTATGTATCTCCATTTCTGTCCATCACCAGATGAGATTATTTTGTGTGAGGCTTGAGAGAAATGGTGTTTATTCCTATTGAGTATGATGCATGTTTGGAGTAACATAAATTTAAGTGAGAAGTGTTATTTTTCCCAGTAAAATGTGGAGAAGAAGACATGCTAGGTATTGGTGGATGGTCCTACTCAATGCACACTTGTAAATCACACTGCCCATGGATGAACTTCACTCACCAGTCCTACTTTTTTCAAACCACAAAGCATTTGTATGCAATTGTTACTGACTGCCAATTTTCAGTTGCATGGGAAGTTCAGACAAATTTGCCAACTGAAACTCACCCCCAAAGTAGCTGACCTTATGTATTTATCTATCTGGCAAATATTTAGTGAAAACACTATTAACAGTAAACAGAATAGCTGATGTTTATTGAGCACTTGCAGTTTGCCTGGCACTATACCCGGTGATTCATACACACTATTTCATCGAATTCTTATGATAACCCTGTGAGATAAGTAATTTTATTATCATCCTATTTTTCAGATGAGAAAACTGAAGCTTTGAGAATAAGTACCTGGACTAAGGTCATGCAATGAGGAAGGGCCAGGCCAGATTGAAAGCTAAAGACGTGGGTGTCCATACCCCATGCCCTTCACCTGTGTGGTGACTGCCTTAATGATCAACTTTGTACTGGGCCCAACGCCGAGGCAAGTGAGCCAAAGGTCAGCAAGTCTAGCTCCCTGGAGGTGACACAGTGATGTATATAATTGTAAGTATATAATTTGTACATAATGCATATAATTTGTATATTGTAAATATATATATATACACACACACAAATGATGATGTATATAATTTGTATTGTTCTACTATATCATTGGTATTGATGCATATAATTGGTATTGTTCTATTGTTTCAATCAAACTCAGGGAGTCTAACAAGAGAAAAACTTATGCATGGTTTGTGAAAATTCAGAAAAAGTGCCTCATCTATGCAAAAAAAAAAAAAAAAACAAAAAAAAAAAAAACAATGTGTGGCCTGCAGATCCTCCAGGAAAGGAAGCTGGGCTGAGCCTGGGGTCAGAGTGTAGGCCATAGCCACAGGGGCATGGAAAACCAGAGAGCCCATGGGAGCTGCGCTGCAAGGCCCATTTCCGTATGTTCCTCCTAGGGGGTGCTTGGAACCTGGTGCAGTCCATCCGAGCTGCTGGACAGGCTGCGTCTACCATAGAGGCGGCTTCGGGGCACCAACTTCCACGTCCCAAAGGTCCTGACTTTCTGAACTGAGAGAATTCTGCTCGGAGCTGTGTTCCTAACTGTCAGGAGTTCAGGGTGAGTTGGTGTGACTTGGATAGAGCCGCTGCTTAAAAACTGATTCTGTTCAGGCTTCTCTAAAAGGTGGGGCAGGCCCTGGGTCTCCACCTCAACTTCCCTGCCATGCTCTGGGACCCGTGGCAGCCTGTCTCCCCCTCTGCGCCTGACACCCCAGAGACCCTGCTGTGGTCCAGTCCGTCCTCTCTCTACCCATGACAGAGGCTGAACAGTGGGCTACGTGTGACGGGATTCTGCTGTTTGCCAAAGAAAAGGAACTGCAAACGGGACTTGGGGGCGCATGTTTACCTAAGTCATACTTCTACAGATGCTCAGTAACACTTAAATAAAGCAATTAGATTATGCTACCTTCCAATAAAATTACTAAAATAACCTTTATTCAGAAAAAAAGTAAGTCATGTGTTCAAGTAATAGATGTTGAATAAATGAACATTTTAATAAATATGAATCCACTGGATTGGAGGAATATCGCATGGTCAACGAAACAATCCCATTTACAACTAAGAAGCAGTAGTCATGAAATTTTGTGTTTTATAAGAAAGATTATTTATTTAAAGAATTAAACTATAGGAAGACTAAAATTCTGTGAATTCTGTCCCCCACGTAAAAGGACAGTGACTCACTAGGGGCAGACTTAGCTGCACTGTCTCTCCATAGATCAGGTACTACAATAGACCTGCATAGACAATGCACATATTTATACCCCACTTTTATTTTATAAGGAGACAATTTTACCTGAATTAAAACTATGTTTGAAGGTTGACAATGCAATATTAAACCCAATATTAACTATTAGATGGCACTTCATATTTTCTTTCTAAAGTGTCTATACGTCGTCCATCCAGGGTAGACTTGGTAAGGAACATGGAGTCATTCATCCAGTCCTTAAGTGATGACCGCCCGGTTCACCGTAGACCAGCCAAAGTACAGCCAGGTGGCATTTTCTTTATTTCTGAAAATGTAATGCGTTGGATCATCTAATTTAAGTCTGTAATAAGTACAAAAATTATTTGTGTAAAAGTGATGATACTTGAACATATGCAGCACATGTTTGCAAGGAAACGACTAAAATTTGAGTTTGCCATTTTCTACCAGTAGTGAATCTTTCATCATTTCAATTAACATATTTCTTCAATATCAGCATCAGTGAGACAGGTTTGTGTATATATACCAGTATGGGAGTATATTATGTCCACACACAGATACATGCCCACATGCACACACACGCACACTACTCAGGGAATACACACACATCTCTTTGTATGGGATTTGTATGACGTATTTCCCAAGCTGAGTCTTCCCTTGGATCCTAAGCTAAGCCAAGACTATATGCTCTGGTCTGAGTTGTGCAGGACCCTTGGTTTTATGTAATCCTGCGCTTTCCTCAAGACTAAGGATTTGAGAGCCTGTGCCCTTGCAGCTTTCCCAGGGGAGCTGAGATGTGAATGTTAACACCTCTCAAGAGACCTCCTAGTCTATCCAGGCCTCTCTCATGATTCAGGCAGGAAACAAGCCTCTGATTATTGTGTGTTCCTTGAATGCTGCAGGAACCCCACGTTCTGAGGAGGTGGCTGCCATTTGGGACCAGCAGGGCTGGGTTCCCCAGGCGCTCACAGGGTCCCTGGTGCAGGGCCAGGACTCAGCACCACAGGCCATCACGGCAAACCACAGGAAAGAGGCAGAAAATAACAGAGACATCCTAGCCCGAGATTCACATGTAAAGGAGGGGAGAAATCACTGAAGAAAATGTCAAAAAGAGCTGAGGTGGGCAGATCACTTGAGGTCAGGAGTTCGAGACCAGCTTGGCCAACATAGTGAAGCCTCATCTCTACTAAAAATACAAAAATTAGTCAAGCATGGTGGCATGTGCCTGTAATCCCAACTACTCAGGAGGCCAAGGCGAGAGAATCACCTGAACCCTGGAGGTGGAGGTTGCAGTGAGCCAAGATCACACCACTGCACTTCAGCCTGGGAGACAGAGTGAAACTCCGTCTCAAAAAAATAAATAAATAAAATAAAATAGAATAAAAATAATAAAAAACTGCCAATAACAACAACAACAACAATAACCAGAAGAGTGAAGTGTTCACAGACCAAACCTAGAAATATGTTTTCTAAAAGAATACCAGGTAAAAATAGGCCAAATTGTGCCAGGTTAACCAGCAAAACTTCTGAATGAGCAAGATAATTTTTTTTTAATCCAGTGGTGTCAATAACCCTCCTCATCTAGCTCTAAGAGCAATGGGAAGAAAACAAAGGAAAAGAATTTTATTTCAAAATTCCTCCCATAACCACATGCTGAAAAGAACTTATTTCCCATAATACTTGAAATATATATTTCAAAAACAAAAAGGATAGAGATGAAATCTACTATGAGTGCTTTATAAGGATTAATTAATGATGTAATTTCTAGAAAACCAGGAATTACAACAATAGATTAACTATAGAAACCTAAAGATATTTTCTTCAAAATTACTTAGAATACAATTTCCATTTTTATCAAACTTTGAGACATTTAATACTCTCACTCTTCATTTCCTAATGGCATCAGTTTTAATGATTTATATAATTTGAAGTGGTTATTTTCCGTACTTCATTACTTCCTCCAAAATGATCATTGATTTCATAATTACTTGATATTTTAAGGCCTGAAGACATAATGTCCTTGAAAATGTTTTAAATGTCTTCTTCGAAGCAAAAATAAATTACAGGAACTTAGAGATGATTTATTTTTTCAACAAAGATAAAGATCATTTTATTTTATCTTAATTATGACTGTGTAGCAACATATCTTATTGAAGAAATCAACATGTAGCTTGTTAACAGAGCATAAAGTAAGGCATTTCTCTATAGAGTATGCAAATATTGTTGTATTTTATTAGAATGACCGAGCATTACCTGCAGACAACATTTTACCAACTGGTTTCTCTCTAGCGTCTCTCCCTCTTCTCGGATGCTTACCTTTTGTGTATATAATATGAGCTAACGTTTAAATTAGAAAAGTTTAGTTAATTTGATCATTCAATTTGTCAGTGGTTTTGTCACTTATTTAGGTACAAGTCTTGTTTTATAGACAAGCTTGAAAAATATATCAAGCTATACATTATTATACTACACATTTTTACATAAACAAAAAAGCCTACTACATATCAACAATTTTTGGGGGTGTTAGGAGAAGTGTGTGTTCTGTACTCTAGAGAACTTAAAATTTTAGATTACATAAGAGGGAAAATACATTTTATGAAGAGAATTGTACATATGGTCTAAATTAACATACATTTGATGATCACTAGGGTCTCATGGTTTAGAATTAGTAAAAATACCTGGGACTTTTCTTAGAAAACACCATTAGAAGATCAATATGTTATCTGTAGTGTAATGTCTATTCCTGCTTTAGACATGCAGTTCAGAATACCTGCTTTTAAACATTATCTGACTTTCCTTCTTTTTTGTCTTTCTTCTTCTGCCTGTCTATGGTGCTTATTTTCTTGGTGTGCATTTCTGATCATGTGTTTACATGAGTCAGTCTTAAGAAAAAAATTTGAGTACATTTCCATTCACAGGCATTATCTAGGAATATGTGCCAGGTAAGTTTACCCTACAGCGTGCTGCATATCTCCAGTATTACTGTCATCGACATACACAAAATAACGCATAAATAACTTCACTCTGCAAAACACACAGCTCTTCTTTCAATGCCTTCAAATTGCTACTATTACAAATCATCAAGTTATCTTCCAAATGGATAAAAACAACATGGTGAGCCAAGGTTCACATGTAGCCATTAGGACTTTTTTACGAAATAAAATTAGGTATAGTTTATAAGTAAATATATTAATACGAAGCTGGGAAAAGTTCTACTCACGTGGTTTAACTTTGTTCTGTTGAAGAATCTTCAACTCCAAGACTTTGACTATGTTCCCCAAATTACTGAAAATATGTTTATGTCAGCCTAGTGCAAACTTTTAACTAAGAAACAGGTACAAAGAGGTGTTCGATTTTTGTTTTCTTTGAATATAAACAGAATGGAGTTCCAGCACTTTAGGTGGGATTCACATGTTCTTGGCCCATGTCTGCTTCAGAAACAGGACAGGGAAACAGGACAGGGCTCCAGCTCCCAGGACAGGTGAGGACCTGGAAATGAGGGAGAAAGGACATTTGGGGGGAACTCCCCAAAAGTGTGCTAAGGGAATGAGCAAAGCACAGGGATGAGAATGGCAGGTGCACTGGTCCATGGGGTATTGGGGTCACCTGGAGGATCTGCCTCACATCTACTTGAAAGACTGAGGTGGAGACTGCTCTGGATTTGGATCCAGGAAAGTCTAAAATCTGCAAGAATCCTGGCCAGTTCTGCCACTAACAATCTCTCCCCATAGGTGACTTCATTCAACCCCATGGTTGAATGTGTCAGTGAGTTGCTGGAACCTCTGAAATATTTGGGTTTGGCTGTCTGTAAAAAGAACGGATAAAAAAGCAACCTATAAAGACATAAGTTTATTTTATGTCATCTAAAAGAATTCCAGAGACAGCATGCAGGATGGGATGTGATCATCAAGGTATGTGTATTGGTCTGTTCTCATGCTGCCAATAAAGACATACCAGAGATTGAGTAATTTATAAAGGAAAGAGGTTTAATGGACTCACAGTTCCACATGGCTGGGGAGGCCTCAAAATCATGGTGGAAGGCGAGGTGGAGCAAGTCACATCTTACCAGGATGGCAGCAGGCAAGGGGGCATGTGCAGGGAAACTGCCCTTCAAAAAACCATCAGATCTTGTGAGACTTATTCACGATCACAAAAACAGCCCAGAAAAACCTGCCCCCATGATTCAATTACCTCTCACCAGGTCCCTCCCATGACATGTGGGGATTATGAGAGCTACAATTCAAGATGATATTTGGGTGGGGACACACCCAAACCATATCAGGATGCAAGATCCAAGGAACAAGGCAATTGTCAAGGACACAGGATTTCTCCATCGAACTCTGGTATCCACCCACACATCCCCTGGGCAGACCAAGCTGCATAGTAAGTGCTCAATAAATTGAATGTTTGTTGAATTAACTAAATATTTTAAATGCAGAATCAGACATAGGGTTAAAGAGCTGAACCCCAGCATTGCCCCTAACTAATCAGGTAACATGATGCATGCTACTTGATCTCTGTGAGTCAATTTATTGTTCTAGGATTTTCTGGTGATGATTTGAGGAAGACAGGCATGTAGAGTGGCCAGCAATGCTGCTGGTCTCCTGACCTCTGAGTTGGGTTTCACTTCACTCTTCATTTTCAAATTCACCTTGAACCTGTATTTGCTGTTTTTCATCCTTGATCCATGAGATCAATTGCTGACTGGCCTGCATTTCAACATGCATCCTGACTGTGTTTCAGTAAATCCTAATAAATAAATATGGACACTCAATACCAGAAATAGAACTAAGTTGAAAAGAAGAAAGCAGAGTGAGTTTAAGAGCCATTCTTCTCCTCCAGCCACCCTCACCAACCCCTGTGCACTCACTCCAAGGCCTACTCTTCACCCTCTGTCCTGGCCATTCTGACCAGGGGGCAGAGTCTACCCAAGATCTGCATAAAAATTAACAGGACAGCTTGAAAAAGCATACATTATTCTTCACCTTCTCCTCCCATTCCTTAATGTATATATTCTCTGGAAATACATCCTTTTAAGAAGCTATAGATATTCTGCTTATAACACAAATTAAAATTATTTCACACAATAAATGAGAATGATGAAATTTGGATTACCTAATTACTCTAAATGCCAAAAATAAGAAGTTCCTTATCTTTCTGAAGAACAAATGTATAAATTTATTCAAGATTATGTCTATTCTTTTATAGTGGAATACTACATTATAGAAATACTTTTAAACCTTTTTTAAAAAGAGGAAATCTATAATTTGTTGATATCTTTCCAGTAATGTAATAAAAAGTCACTGCAGTAAGACAAACACAGGATTATTGGAGGACGAAAGCCTTATTAATTATGGGAGCATGAGAGTTATCAAATCACTTTATGGAGGCATTTTGATTCTTTGTAGTTTGAATCAAAATTAATAATAATATATGTATTAATAATATTTTTAGTGCTCTCACTTTATACTGTCCTGTCATCCTTTCTCAAGATAGCCTGCCATTCATTATAAAATCAGGGAATCACACAGGTGAGCATGTACACAGAGGTGAATATGTGCACACAGGTGACCATGTAAACACAGGTGAATATGTGCACACAGGTAAGCATGCACACACAGGTGAACATGTACACAAAGGTGACCATGTTCACATAGGTGAGCATGCACACAAAGGTAAACATGTACACACCCAAAGCACACATGAGCCATATGGAGGATTTGTAAATATACAGATCTAGTTTCTGCCATATCTTCATCCTCCTTCACTTATTGGACAGTCTACATATTTATCTCTCATTATATAATGATGTGTAGGCTCAATTAATGTTTGATGTGTTTCTCACATCAACCAGTTTTAACCTACTTTCCAGAAAGTATCACATCCTTTTTTTTTGTATTTTTGCCTGGATTAATTACAATACCTTACATGTCATATGTGCTCAGTCGTGTCTGCTGACTCATTGATACGGAGCTATATTTCTGAATATCCTATGTTTCTCTTGAGAAATTTTAAAAACTTTTCATAACTTACTATTTTAAAAATATTCAGTTTGCTAATAATTCCCATATGTCTAGGCTTAATGGACACAGGAAAAATCCATCAGGGACCCCGAATTAAGGTCAAGCATGCTGCTTGAAGACTCAGAACCAGGGTTGCTGGCGATGGTTACAAATCATACCCACCTTACACATAGGCAGGTGGGTAGCAGCCTTGGAAGCTCTGATTTTACAGGGAAGTACGTTCTTTGCTAGCTGTTTTCTATAATTCCATCCTTAAAATTCAATCTTTCCAACTTAGAATGATAGCCCTGCTAAAAGGCAAAGCAAAACAAAAGAATAATAAACAAAGCCACTGTATGCAGTAAGGCATGGATTCTAACAGGATAAACTGTTTTCTCTGATGGTTGGAGAAACGAGAAGTGTTATGCCACTGACAAGAAATAAAACTATATGTGTAAATTTTCATTCACCTTTGTGCTTACGTTTTATGTTGAACTTTCCTATTACTAGACTTTAATGGGTGTTTTCTATGATTGTTCCAATGAGGTTTCAAATATTGAAAACACTAATATTCTCAGTGACATCACTGTGCCACCATGCTATCAAAATAATTAGAACAGGAGCACGACATGGAGAGAAAAGGCCCGTGGCTGAAATTCGGGGAAGCTGGGTTCCAGTATTAACTCTCATTTACTTGCTGTAGAACAATGGGAAACCAAGAAAAGTAATTTTTAACTTTCTTTGTTTTGCCAAGAGTTCCTCAATTAACAGGAAGTATTTTTACAAGAAACATGGCTTTGTTTGGAAAGCAAATGGCAGTTGTAAGGAAAGTGATGAGGATGAGCAACTCCAGATATGGGGGTCGGTGGGGGTGGGTGGGCGGTGTCACTCGAAAAATGACAGCTTTCGATTTTAAGTGCCAGCCTAACATCATGTTCCTACATTTAAAAGACTGTTAAGATCAAAGAAAACATTTGAGTGCAGCATATTCTTTTTAAAATTCTAAATGATCTATTTTTCCCGTGTTTTAAATGATCAGCTGCTTCATTTAAATGAACTCGATAGAAACATGTCTTCTAATAAAAGCTGCATTATGCTTTTCCATAACTTCTGACTTGAGTGAGCTCAGCACTGGGCTCAGAACGATATTAATTTAAAAAGAGAAAAAAGGGCGTAATGAGCTGTAAAAAGACTAAGTCTGGAAAGAATAACACTGAAAGATACTTAATATAGGGCCAATTATTTGACTGGCACTTTGATCTTGCCTTTTGTAATAACTTCAACAGAGAAAGAAATTTCAACATAGAGATTTTCTCTACAGTATATATGGCATACATGAGAATACAGGATAACAGTTCAAGCCAGGATATCTCCAGACACACATATAATCTGTAGAGTCTCTAGGCAAGTGTTAAAATACCCTGATACATAAATAACACAGGGTGTTAAAACACCTTGATACATAATGGGCTAATACAGGTTAAAAGAGTATCTGGAACAAATAAATATTAGCTATTATTATCAGTAATAATAATATTGTTATTGCATAGGGTATCAGAAAAACATTGGCAATATATTAGAATGCATTAAATAAACCAGGAAATGAATACATGACGATGTAATCTATATTTACAATAGCTATAAAAAGTTATTTTATTAAAAGGCTTATGCAAAAGTTACTGTTGGAGAACTCCCAAAAGATGTGTCACAGACCATGTCTCTTCTTCTGGGCAAACCAGAACACATAATAAAGAGGTGGAGAGCGATATTCTAGGGCTGTATGATGATGAATTGAAATCTGTTTCCTGAAATAACTTGAACAAGGCTGTCTCCTGTGTTGCCTTTCAATGAAAGTATGATGCATTATTATTGACAGAAAAAAAATACTGCCAATAAAAGCATGACAAAGCCAGGTGGTGGCACTTAATAGCTAGACCCTGGTGGGTGTAACTAAGATGGGCTGGGGGCAGGGGAGCAGGGGTGTGATCTGCAGAAAGCTCTGAGGCTGGTTAACTGAATACGGCATTTCCAGGGGCAACATGGATGGGCAGCCCACAAAGCACACTCAATTTGTACCAAGAAAAGAAATCAAGAGACCATGAGCATAAAACTGAGAGCAGCCACCGCCATAAAGTCTGATTCCTCATTCAGTTTCCTGGCCTAAGCCGGTTTTGAGACCTGGAACCTCCTCAAGGAGGAAGAGTTGGACCTCCGCAGGAATCGCACAGATCTTAGAGAGAGGGCAGACTGCCACAGGCTCAAAAAATCAGTAACTTCCATTGTTACCACCACCCCAGACGTGGTCATTTTTCCTAGAGCTAATTCTCATGGCTCCTATTATGTGACATGTGGCCACCGGTTTCATGAAAATCTTTGTTTTCATTCTTATCAGATAGGAGGGTCAAACACAATGAACCTGAACATCATATAGAACATGGAATAGCACTTACATACAGTTCTGTCTCACAGGGATGCTAACACCTTTGCCTTCTTCCATAATATAGTCCAAAGAGACCTGGGCCACCTGAACTTCCCTCAGCCCATCCCATCAAACCACTGTAGAGATGACATCCAGCAAATTGGATGGATTGGATGGGATGGCCAAGAAGTGGCAACACCTTGGAGCCCTTGATAGGACACATGAGCTTCAGAGGGTGATAACTGAACCCTATGAAGACCCAGGAGACACCCATGTCAGTGGGTTATTTGAAGTTCCAATGGCCCAGGGGCATGTGGGGACGCCCCATCTAAATAAAGGGAAATGGTTGCATCTTGCACTTCTTGTAACCAAGATGGAAGCATGGTGTCTAGTAAGCCTCTTTGGGTTCTGAAAACTCCACACCTAGGAGCACAACTCAAACCTTACAGTGGGGGGGGGGGGTCTCCAAAAGCCATGGTCACCTTTGTGTGGGGCTCAGAGCAGGAAGAGGCTCTGCACATGCAGCTAAGGTGTAAGCAGTCCTGCTTCTTGGTCCATGTGGCCCAAAGACTGCATGGCGTCAGAGTGGTGGGAGAGACACCCTTTAGGGTTTACGGCAGAACTCAGCGGCTGGATCACAATGCAGATCTCTAGAGTTCTGGAGCACAGCCATGCCATCTAAATCAAGGAACTACACACCTTTTGTGAAAGAATACAGAGAATGCCACCAGTCCCTGGTAGAGAAGGACCACATGGGGACCATGGACCATGAGGCACAAATGCCTATTCTGAGCTGGGTTCCATCCACCCACCAAGTCTCAGGGGTGGGTGTGCCCTGCAACAAGCCCTCCTAGATAGACGTGGCATGCTAAGGCTCAAGCTCATGGCACGGTTAGGTCACAGACACCAGGCCACCTGCCAGGATTGTCCGCCACTTCCTCCCTCAGCTCACCCCTGGGATTTGAGGGGAATCCCCAACAGCTGGCGAGGTAGAAACCATGGAGAACTTGGTCAGTGATTATTAGACCTCCTAATTCTCTAAAATTGAACCTCAGCATATCCCAGTTTACATCTCATTATTACTTTATTTGGGGCCCTCATCTAGCCTTTTTCCCCAAAATGTTCAAATGCAAACATAATAAATGTGATGCACACACTTGATGCCTGAATTCAAAGCACCCAGAAAGCAGAAGTAATTACGGCTTGCTTGATTTCAATGCTGCAAAATCTATCCCCTAAAACCTCCACACAGTTGCTAAGAGAATGATCACCCCTACCTTACCATTTTCTTGTGAAAGAAATTTATCAAGAGTAACTGCTGTCATGATAATGAGAGCAAGGGGAAACTTTGTGAGAGGAGCTCTTAATTTAGAGACCACCCCTGTCACTTTTAAATGATCTTCCGTTGGCCTCCAACACAATAGTAGCTTAAAAAAAATAAAAAGAAAAAATGAAAAATCAAAATTAAAAAAAAGAAAAATCAAACATGAAAGGCAAGTTCAGAATCATCTAGAGAATATTTTAAATATGAAAAATAATCCTGGCTCTCTTGACAGCTTCTTTCTGAAATGTCAGCAAGCATCGTTGTGCAGAAGACCAAGTCATCGTTCAGGGTGGAGGGAAACATGATCACACATTAAACTGAGGGCAAAAGAGAAAAGAGGGAAATGCTCAAATTCTCTTTGCATCAGCATGAGTTGAAAAAAAAAATCTCCACATTGTCAAAAGAAGAATTGGAGGCAAAATTTCTGTGAACTGTAGCCAAGGTGAGCATATATTTTTCAGATTTTTTTCAACAACTTCCACGAAAATATAAAAGGTGCAGTCGCTTTTCATAGAGAGTGTGGATGATTTATCTACTCAATTAGACTTGGTCTCCGGAGCTACCGGAGCAGAGGATGAGCCCCAGCGAATGGCCACATTCTGCCTTGCAGTTCAAAGCTGTGCCCTCCACTGCCCAACTTAGCTCCAAAGAAGAAAATTTCCCCTCTGTGCTGTGATTAGGGCTTTGAAAGTTATTAAACTGATGAGCCCTGCCGTGGGATTACCAGCAGCCATGCACAATTTTAGGGAATGCCCAGACTCATGGAGAGAATGGCCGCTGGGGCATATTTCCGGGGAGGAAGTGGCTACGTGCTCTGACCCGGGAGCAGTTCTTCCTAATGATCCTGGCCGCGCCCCCTGGTTTTTCCGTCAGGAGATCAGGCAGCGAAACCATGGAAGCTGGTAACGGGGTGACGGACTTCAAGAGCCAGCACTCAGGCTTACCCCACCTCCCTGAGACCTCAAAGCTTTTTCTAAAGTCTAATCCTGGGAAACATTTTCATTATTCCAGAAGATACCCTTGTTGGCTCTTGGAGGAATCGGAAAAAAATCTTAAACCTTGTAGAAGTGTGGCTGGAGCTGATTTCTGTCTGATTTCAGGGCTGCACCCCATCCCCTTCTTCATATTTGAATTTCACCTTTTCAGATCTCTTTTACTCCTTCCTAGCAGAAGTAAGGCTTTAAGATTGAACAGTTACTTAACCTTTATTTACATTAACTTATCGAATTTTTCTCTGACAGCAGGTCAGAACGATGAGCTCATAAGTAACTTGGGACCTTGACAGGATGCCCAAAGAGGTAAAAGAATGTTGGAAGTGGAGATTAAGGGCATTTTGCGGGCTTCATAGTTTTTGGAGAACTGGCCCTGTATGAAATGTGGCATTGCTTGGGCCTAGACTACAGTCATGCTGATGACAATATTTCTGTCAATGATGGACTGCATGGACAACAGCTGGCCCATAATTATAATGGAGCACATATGGAAACCTGGTATATAATACTTGATATTGGCAGTGCAGGTCAAGTAGAGGAAATGATTGATATTCAGTCATGGTGCTGGGACAGTTGGTTTTTCATATAAAAAATATACATAAATAAGCATAAATACCACCTAGAATTGTGAGAGTACAGTCTGTGATGTTCAAATAACAAAATAGCCCAGTGAGACATTCTCAAAACGTAACCCCTTTGCTAAGTGACACATGACTGTATTATTAAATGGAAAGAGTCAAAAAAAGCATTAATAGAGAAATACTCAAAACTTAATTTTTATCATATTGGTTAATTCAAATTTTATCTTTGAGTAGCCAATAACGTCATGTTTCTCACATTTTTTTTGCATCTGGTCATCTCTTCCTAGCTTTCAAGAAGCAAACTGGTGATCTTTCTCCTCCAAATTACATTATCCTGAGTGGGTTACTCTAAATGCCTTTAGACCACTTTAAAAGCATAGATGATTCTATTTTTTTAAATAACTGCCTTAAAGGAGTGTTAGCGTGTGTACAGGGCTGTGAAGACTCCTTTGAGTCTTTAGGGGCCTTCCTGATTCTTTCCAGCCTGCAAAAGAATTAAATATCTATCAAAACAGCAGAGAGGTCAGGATAAGAAATAACTCAGCATTTTTTTTAAAATGCATAAACCATACAAACTGAACTGAAATATTTTTTAAAATGAACTAAAATGGTGTATGAGCCCACTCAAAATTTTGCATTTTAGCTGTTATATTAACAGTTTGGGATTCACTGCAGACTCGTCTGTTTCTGATAAGGATTGGGGGAATGTCTCTGTTCTTTATAATCCACTTTTAGAAAGCCTTAACATTACAAGTAAAATGCAAAGCTCCAACTCTAAATACTCACAGTTTCAACCAGACAAAGATGTCATTGCCCACCTAACATGGTGTTATTAATCCCTTCTCATTTTCCCCATCTACACAGTACAATATAACTATGGGTTGTCCAACACCTCCCAACTTCCACAGGTGGGCAATTATTATGGTAATTAACACTTATGGAAATTACCCGAACCAACCCATCCTGCATTACGAAAGGAGAAGGTGCTGTTTGGCTGTGCATTTAGCTGTATGCATGTGTGTCTGCGTGTGCATGCACAGGTGTGTGTGTCTGTGCATGTCTGGTGTCTAACACACATGCATATGCTCCATATTAAAGAAACAGATTTGGGTTGCTTTCTTTCAAATCTGAGTTTCTGAGAGTCTTGTATGTTCAGAAAGAGAACTGCATCTGTTTGAATCTCAGTCAGATAAACAAATATTTAAATGTAAGCAATGTTGGGAAGATTGCTTTAAGCACTGAAGCAGAGCTTGGCATTTAGGAGGAGAAAACAGGGGGCCAGAGTCAATGCAACTGACTAGAGATTACTGAAGCAGAAGGCTCAGGGACACACAGTGAACTCATCCCTAAGGCTTCTGTAGACACAGTCTGCAGCTTATTGACTTGCAGGGTTCACTCGTAAGATAATTGAGGGAAGATGACTTCACCAATACACATCAGAACTCAGCATCTGCGAATCCTCAAAGTGAAGCATGTTGCCCATTTCCAGACCGTCCCACTGGCTCTCCCATGAGCACCTCCCTTCCTGTTCTCTTTTCTTGGTAACATGGACTTATTTCCTATTTAAAGTCAATTCTGATGCACTATCCATTTTTCCACATTAATAACTACAGTCTCATTGGACTTTGGACTCTGACACCAAGATGAGATGGATAGTAAATAGAATGGCAGAAACATATTTTAAAAATTTTCAACTAAAAATAATTACATTAAAACTTAGATAAATAAAAAAGATTTTGTGTTCTCATTCAGGAAATCAATTTTATATACGATGTAAGGGAGAGTTGCTTGAAATGTGTTTTGTGTAAAACAGACTTAGGGATTTTAAGCAACTGTAAGGTCAAGACAAGCCTGGGTGAGATGTGGGGATCTGGAACAAGAAGTTCATTGCCACACCTTGGGCTTATTAGCATGCACCTCCTTATGAAAAAGCTCACCTCTCAGAGGTCCTCATGGATCCAAAGGCATCCTACATGTTCACATCATGTTCAAAACATTTCTTTGTCTCCAGAACAATAGACTGTCTGATGCATATACCCCTTGCAAAAAAAGGGGCATCTCTTTCTCTTACCACACACACCCCATCCCTAAACTCATAACCAACAGGCTGAAAAATTCTGCAGTAGACTTGTATGATGGGGATGAGTTCACCACATCACTCCACCTACACCCAACCACACTTAGAAGTGAGGCATGCTTTCGCTGATCCCAGGGTACACTGCAGATACAGAGCCCAGTGCAAAGGAAAACCGTGAGGCCTCTCGTCCAAAAATTATTAAGAACTTCAGGACCATGACAGAAGAAAGACCAAGTGGCCTCTGAGCACACTCAGGTCTCGTGCCCATGAAGCCAGCCCCTTGCACAAGCAAGCCCAGTTAAATTCATCAAAGTCTGGCTCAGAAGAGAACAGACCAATGCCAGTGGATTTATAGGGTATACTCATGAATGAAAATAACATTTGTGTTATTTTTCTTCTTGAGGTCATTTTGTTCAGTTGTTTTCTTTTGAAATATACACAATATAAAATTTACCATTTTAACTATTTTAAGTGTATGATTCAGTGGCATTCAGCGTATTCACAAAGTCACGAAACCATCACCACCACCCAATCACAGAATGTTATAGCTTGAAAACTCAAGCACTGTCTCCGTTAAACAATTACCCTCCCATTTCCCCTCACCCCAGCCCCTGGCAAACACCATTCTATTTTCTGTTTTTATGAATTTCACTACTCTATGCATCTATTATAAGTGAAGATTTCACTGATGTATTTCACTGAACATCATGTCTTCAAGATGCATCCATGTTGTAGAACGTGCCAAAATGCCCTTCCTTTTTAAGACTGAATAATATTCCACTGTGTGTATATACTACAGTTTGTTTATTCATTCATCTATCCATGGACACAGGATGCTTCAACGCTTTGGCAACTGTAAATAATACTGCTATGAACATGGATGTGCCATGTCTTTGTGAGTCCCTGCTGTTAGTTCTTTTAGATATATGCCCTGAAATGGAACTGTTGGATCTTATAGTAATCCTAAGATTTACTCTTTTGAAAGGCTGCCGTACTCTTTCCACAACAGCACAGTTTTATAAAGAATGGGTTGTTTAATTTCACCTATTCTTGAATTGTCTAGTTTTTGTTCTGCAATTTATTTATAGTTTTACTCCACTGTGATCAATGTAATGCCTTGTATAGTATCAATATTTTTAGATTTATTAAGACTTGTTTTGTAGTCTAGCATATGGTGAATCTTGGAAAATGTCCCTGTGCACTTGAGAAAAATGTGTATTCTACTGTTACAATTGTGTATTCTACAAAATGTGTATTCTACAAAATGTGTATTCTCCTGTTACTATTGTTCATCCCCACCAGCGGTATACAAGGGTTCCGATTTTGTCACATCCTCAACAACAATTTTTTTTCTTTTTTTTACTAATACTCAACCTAATCAGTGTAAAGTGGCATTTCATTATGGGGTTGATTTGCATTTGCCCAGTGATTAGTGATGTTCAGCAACTTTTCATGTGTTTATCAGCCATTTGTGTGCCTTTGCAGAAAGGTCTATTCAAATATTTTGCCAGTTTTGAAATTAGAAATTTTTTGTTGTTAAACTGTAGGAGTTAGCTATGGGTTTAGCAATGGGTTTTTCATATATGACCCTAATTGTGTTGAGGTAATTTCCTTCTATTCTTAGTTTATTGAGTGTTTTATCATGAAAGGGTGCTAAATTTTCTCAAAATTTTTTTTCTGCATCAATTGATCGTGTGTTTGTGCACATTTTCATTCTATTAAGGCAGTACACTAAGTTGATTGATTTTCATATATTGAACCATTCTTGCATCCCAAGAATAAATCATACTTGGCTGTGGCTTATAATACTTTTAGTATACAGTCAGATATAATTTTCTAATATTCTGTTGAGGATTTTTGCATCAAGTTCATAACAGATATTGGTGTGTAATTTCATTGCAGGGTCTTTGGCTGGCTGCGGTGTCAGAGTAACACCTCATAGATGAGTCATGAAGGGTTCCTTCTACTGCATTTGTTTGACAAGTTTGAGGAGGGCTGGTGTTAATTCTTTTTCAAATATTTGGTGGAATCCACCAGTGCAGCCATTTGATCATGATCTTTTCTTTGTTAGGAGGCTTTTGATTATTGGTTCGATTATTTGTTGTCTAATTTCTTGATGTACAAGTGTCCATAGTACTTTTTAAAATTTCTTACATTTCTGTAAAATCAGTAGGAATGTTCACTCTTTCCTTCTGACTTTAGTCACTTGAAGTTTCTTTTATTTTTACTTAGTCAGTCTGGCCAATGGTTTGTCAAATTTGTTGCTCTTTTCCAAGAATGAATTCTTAGTTTCACTGATGTTTTGTATTGTTTTTAATTCCCTATTTTATTTATTTCTGCTCTAATCTTTATTGTTTCCTTCTTTCTGCTAGCATTGAATTTAGGTTGTTCTTTCTCTAAAAGTTAAGTAGTTGATTTGAGACCTTTCTTCTTCTTTGGTGCAGAGTTTACTGCCACACAGTGGCTTTCCATTCACTGTATCCTACATATTTTGGTGTGTTATGCTTTTATTTTTGTTTGTCTCAAGGTATTTTCTAAATTTCCTTGTGATTTCTTGTTTGGTCCATTGTTTTTATAAGGAATGGGTTGTTTAATTTCATGTATTCTTGAATTGTCTAGTTTTTGTTCTGCAATTTATTTATAGTTTTACTCTACTGTGATCAATGTAATGCCTTGTATAATAACAATATTTTTAGATTTATTAAGACTTGTTTTGTAGTCTAGCATATGGTGAGTCTTGGAAAATGTCCCTGTGCACTTGAGAAAAATGTGTATTATACTGTTACAAAGTGGAGTGTGCTGTGTATGTCTGTTAGAACCACATGCTCTATAGTGTTGTTATTCAATGTTTTTATTAATCTCCTGTCTTTTTTTCTATTCATTATTAAACAGCTGTCTATTTCTCCTTTACAATTATGGAAATATATGCATTATATGTTTTAGATCTCTGATGTTTGCTGCATATAGGTTTATAATTATTATATTTTATTGTTGTATTAAAGATTTTATTAATATATAAGTTCCTTCTTTGTCTCTTGTAATAGTTTTGACTTAAAGTTGATTTTGTCTGATATTAGTACAGTCATGTCCACCCACTTCTGGTTACCATTTGCATAAAATATATATAGTTCCATTTTTTTCAACCTATATACCCTTAAATCCAAAGTGAGTCTATTATAAATGCCATGTAATTGGATCCTATTTTTTCATCCCTTCTTGCAATCCATGAATTTGGATTGAGGAGTTTAATCTGTTCACATTTAAAGTAATCACTGGTGGAAAGGACTTACTTTTGCCATTTTGTTATTTGTTTTATTTCTTACTATTTTTTGCATATTACTTTTTTGCCTCTATTACTGGCAAAATCAATTCAGTTAATTTTTTATAGTGACATGGTTTTATTTACTTTTTACCTCTTTTTGCATATATTCTGTAATATTTTCTTTGTGATTCCAGTGAGTATTTTATATAATATACTAAAGTTACAGTAATCTAACTGGAATTGATACTAAGCTTACCTCAATTGCATACAACTCTTCTTCACAGCTCTGTTTCCCCATTTTGTAATTGGTGTGACAAGTCACATCTTTTTGTTGTGTACCCATTAACATATAATTATTTGTATGTATTCGTCTTTTAAACCCTGTAGAAAATGTAAAGGGTGGCATTACAAACCGAAAATAATAATAATACTGTTTTCCTATATATCTTTTAAAGTATTTACCTTTAATGTAGAACTATATATTTTTATATGGTTTCATGTTCCAGTTTAATATTCTTTTGTTTTACTTGACCTTACATTTATTGTAAGGTCATTTCAGTGTTAATAAACTGTCTGGGAATGACTTAATATGCCCCTCATTTTTAAAGGACTATTTTGCTAGGTATAAAAGCATCAGTTGACAGGTTTTTTTTTGTTTTTGTTTTTGTTTTTTTTCCGGAACTCTATGTCATCTCACTGCCTTCTGGCAGCAAGGTTTCTGCTAAGAAATGTGCGTATTGTCTTATTGGGAATCCCTTGAATGTGAGAAGCCACTTTTGCTCTGTCAAGATTCTCTTTTTGCCTTTGTCTTTCAACACACTGATTATAATGTGTCCTAATGTGGGTCTCTTTGAATTTATCCTATTGGAATCCATTGAGTTTCTTGGGTTTGTGTATCTATATCTCCCCATATTTGGAAAATTTACTGCCTGTATTTTTTATTTTATTTTATTTTTTTGAGACAGAGTCTCATTCTGTCACCCAGGCTGGAGCACAGTGGTATGGTCTCAGTTCACTGTAACTTCTGCCTCCCAGGTTCAAATGATTCTCCTGCTTCAATCGCCTGAGTAGCTGGGATTATACACTCCCACCACCATGCTTGGCTAAGTTTTGTATATTTAGTAAAGACAAGGTTTCACTACGTTGGCCAGGCTAGTCTCAAACTCCTGACCTCAAGTGATCCAGCTACCTCAGCATCCCAAAGTGTTGGGATTACAGTAATGAGCCACCATGCCAGCTATATTTTCAAAGAATGCCTCTGCCCACTGCCCCTCTCTTTTCTTTCTGGGACTCCAAAAATAGAATAATTGGTTCACTTCATTATGTCCCATATGTTTATTAGAATCTGTTCACTTTTTAAAATTCTTTTCTTATTCTTTCTCCTCAGGCTTGATCATTTCAAATAACTTGTTTTCAAGTTCATGGATTATTTCTTCTGCCTATTCAGACCTGATGTTGAACCCCTCCAGGGATGTTTGCAAAGCAGTTTAACTTTTCAGCTCCAGAATTTCTAATTTTTTTTGTAATTTATATCTCTTCATTGATATTCTCATTTTCTGTAGATACAGTTTTCATGATTTATTTTAGCTCTTCTTCTGTGTTTTCCTTTAGCTCTTTGAGTATATTTAAGATCATGGTTTTAAAGTCTTTGTCTTCCATGCTTAAAGCCTATGTTTCTTTAGATATATTTTAGACACATTTCATTCTCTAGATGGGCCATGTTTCCCTGTTTCTTTGTATGCTTTGTGATGTTTTGTGGAAAACTGGATGTTTGACAAAACAGTCAGCAGTCACTTCTCCCAGGTTTTGCAAAACTGATGTGGAAATTCTGCAAAACTTAATTAATCAGCAGGCCTCTGAGCCATGAGAACAGCCTGGGATGAAGGCCCAGTGTCTTCTCCAGCCTCTTTTGGGCATGTGTCTTCCCTGAGTCTGTGAGTGTGCTTTTTCCCAATTCCTCCATAAATATGGCTGCTTTATTTCTCTAAAATAAAGACTTACCCTGCTTCTTCTCAATGCCTTAGGTGTTTTGTTTTATTTCTCTGTGTGCAGTCTCTGGCTTGCAGACATCTGTAGGTCTCCCATCCTCCAGATGTTTGCGTCCACCACAGCAGTTGCCACTGCCTTCCACAGGGTCCAACCTGACATCCAAGCTCTGCTGGCATTTCTGTCTGATTTGCAAGTCAGGCAAGACAGAAAGCAGTCCCTCAGGAACACCACGGAGTCCTGAATATTGGAAACAAATTCCACTGTGCTCTTTGCATCTTGGGCAATTGGACCACTTCCTCCTAACTATGCTAAGTAGAATAAAAATGCCTCAAAATTTTCTCCCATTTGAACATTCTTTTTCCTCAACTGTGTAACCATATGGTTGCTGTAAATCTTTTGCTGGTTCCCAGAGCTCCTATAAAGTTATTTTAGTCAATAATTAGTTGATTATTTAATTTTCATGGGAAAATGAAAGCCTGGAACTTCCTGGTCTACCATCCTGCTAACAACATTTCAAATGATTATTTTCACAAAGTATTGTGGTAATTTGTTATGTAGCAACAAATAATGGACACAATAGTCTTCGGAGAAATGAAACACTTGACTTTTGAAGGATTTTCCAGTTTTTCATTGCACATGGGGGTGAGAAAAAAGACCCCAGGGGTATCATGGCCACTCTCTTCACATAGTTTGGCATCAAATCAGCTGAGACCAGGGATCCCCTCCCTCTACTGGAGTGAACAGCAGGTCTCAGTGTTCTGAAAGGGCCCAGGTGCTATCAGGTATGATATGCAAGATTCCAGCTGCAAGATGCCAGTCACCACTACCCAGCCTCCTTTCTAAGCACCCTGCCTTGCCTAACCCCTTGTTTTAACCCATTTTCATGCTACTGATGAAGACACACCTGAGACTGAGCAACTGACAAAAGAAAGAGGTTTAATGGACTTACAGCTCCATGTGACTGGGGAGGCCTCACAATCATGGTGGAAGGTGAAAGGCATGTCTTACATGGTGGCAGACAAGAGAAGAGAGCTTGTGCAGGGAAACTCCCCTTGTCAAAACCATCAGATCTCATGAGACTCATTCACTATCAGGAGAAAAGCACAGGAAAGACCCATACCCATGATTCATTTACCTTCCACTGGGTCCCTCTCACAACATGTGGGAAGTGTGGGAGCTAAAATTCAAGGTGAGATTTGGGTAGGGACACAGCCAAACCACATCACCCCTCCTTGACCTACTTATCCAGAGCATGGCAATAGAGTGAGGACCACACGCATCCTGCTCCTGACCTGCTGTGAGCCCCAGCCTGCTATGTGCTGCCTCTGGAGCCTGCCCAAGGCCCTGGCTCAAGAAACTGTCTTCAAACCATCTTTATGATTCCAGTGAAAGTTACCTTTTAATACACCCAGCTCATGGATTTCCTCTTCATCATGCTGTGGGCTGAAGTATGGAAAAGTGATCAGTCATGTAAAACCAAAATCTCTTCCTTCCTGAATTACATCACCCACCTAAGCCCCTCCCTCCTCCAACCCACTAGCATTGATTCACTGATTCAGAAAAAGTCCTCCAAGTGTGTGCTGACAATGGGTAGAGCGGAGGATGAGAAGAAGTAAAGCAAGGTGGTGGTGTAACACACTCAGGTAATCACAAACTGTGCATGTTTCCTTTTCAGCTCTGCCACTTCCTCTGAGTTGGGAAGACATGAAGAGTCAAAGTGCTTTGTATCGTTCAATCAAAATAGAAGCAGTGCTGCCTGCACAAATTTTGAGGGATCATTACATGGAAAAACAAAAAAAAAATTAAAAAAATGTAAACTTATGAACAGACTACAGGCAAATCTCAGAGATATTGCAGGTTTGGCTCCAGAACACTACAATAAAGTAAATATCACAATAAAATGAGTCACATACATTTTTTGGCTTCCTTGTGCATATATAAGTTATATTTACACCACACTGTAGTCAATTAAGTGTGCAATACCATTATGCCTTTAAAAAGTACATATCTTAATTTTAAAATACTGTATTGCTAAAAATTGCTGACAAAGTGAGCACATAATGTTGGAGAAGGGTCTGCATAAATCTTCACTTGGTAAAATATGAATTATCTCTGAAATTCAATAAAGCAAAATACAATACAATAAAGTATGCCTGTAAGTGGCCTGCAGTAACAGTCAATAAATGTGGTTGTCATTCTTATTAAGACAAGATTTCTGCCTTTATGAACTTTCGTTAAGTAGGCTCTAGACATTAATCAAATAATTATGAATATAATGAATGCTGCTTCCAATGGGGAAGAAGAGTGCTGTGTCCTCATGGGACATTATAGGGCTCAAGAGAGCTGCAAACTAACCTTCCTCTGCCCACACTTGAAGCCCATTATTCAATAAGGGAATCAACAGCTGGATGTCTAACATGTAAAATTTATATGGAAAATATACCTCATACCTGTAGACAAATGTACTTTTTAATACTTAATTCTGGAATGAGATGGACTTAATCAACCCATCTCAGGCTCCTCTGGACCCAGGCAAGAAGCTCTGGAAGCCCCTGTGGCTTTGAGGAGCAGAAACAGAAGCTCCTTCCTGCAGGCAGCTCATTCCTAGGAAGAGGGGAAGAGAACAGCATCCATGTTTACATCCCTTCCATACTCACCAAGTGGATGCTCCTGCCCTAGCAGGAAGCAGTGAGGCAGGGGTGAGGAAGACAGTGGAGACATGCCTAGAGTGTTGGCCTCATGGGGAGAACATCTCACCATTGCTTAATTCATTTCACTTAGCCCTTAAGAGGATCCTGAAAGGATGTGGGCAGAGCAAATCATCTTGGTTTCAGCACCTGGAACACAGTTAGTCTCAAGTCTCTAAACTGGGATCATCAAATAAATCAGAGCTGTCCTACCAAGAGGTTAATTCGGGCACCATGTTACCACATCTGGCAGGGAGCCAATGTGTGATTGACAGTAGGCTCTAACAGTGTGGGGGTTCTCGCTCCCCACAGGCAGCATTTTCAGTTTTGTGCTATGATGGCTTCCACAGCCTCTCACAGGGAATTGCTCAGAACTAGGAAGGTGGCTTCCTTAGGGATGTGTCCTCCTTCACCCATAGCTAACTAATCCAGTGTCCACTGGCGGCTCAGGATGGAGACTAGCACTTGAGCACATGAACCTAATGTAAAGCCTCCACGCCTCCTTCCTTGGCACATAATGGAGAATGCAATGGGCGGGGGGCAGCAGCTCTGTCCCTGACCAGCTGGCCCTGGCTTAAACCGTGTGGGGCAAATCTCACTAACACAGGGAACATTGCAATGGTCTTATAGTTTAAAACTAGCAAATCTTGTTTGATCCCTGAAAGGCCCTGTAGTTGGAAAGCCTTTTTTCACCCCCTGTAGTCAAATCTCTGCCTCTGCCTCTGTTCCCTGCTTAGGAAAAGATGAGCCAGTGCCACCCAAAATCAGCACTCTAACCAGCTCCATGCCCATTTTGCAGTAAGGCTACCAGGAATCATTCCTATGTGATCAAAGTTGCCACAAACTGCAATATTGTTTAAGGTAACAATTTTCCTTGACCAGTCCCTGCAGTCCACACCACCACTGTGCACCAGCTACTTGTGCCAATGCCAGTTGCTGTGAACCATAAGGTCAAAATGCTCTGGGACCAATAAAGTCTTAATTTCCAGGACTCTTTTTTTTTTTTTTTTTTGAGACAGAGTCTTGCTCTGTCACCCAGGCAGAAATGCAGTGGTGCGATCTCGGCTCACTGCAACCTCTGTCTCCCAGGTTCAAGTGATTCTCCTGCCTCAGCCTCCCAAGTAGCTGGGGTTACAGGCGCCCACCACCATACCAGGCTATTTTTTGTATTTTTAGTAGAGACGGGGTTTAGCCATGTTGGCCAAGCTGGTCTCGAACTCCTGTCCTCACGTGATCCGCTCTCCTCAGCCTCCAAAAGTGCTGGGATTACAGGAATGTGCCACCGCACCCCGCCAATTTCCAGGCTTTGATTTGTTTCAAAAACGTGTACTTCTTAGTGTGTCTCAATGCTCTTAGTCAATGCATGAGGAAGAAAGTATCAGAGGGGAAGGAGCTGCCCCACTAACACAGAGGGCATCACAGAGCTGGAAGAGCTCGCTAAAGCACCCAACAGCAGGGGCAAATCTGGCAGCTACGTCACCCCAAAGGATCTCAGTCCCAGTTCATCAACCCCTCGGCTAGAGAGGAACAGGGAATGGAAGGAAATAGCTCCTCTCATTCAGATGCTAGGTCCAGCGGCTGGGCCTTTAATCTATTTCTCTATTATACATAGTCACCTATATATCTGTGGCATTCAATAATCATTATCATTGCAATAACTAGTTTAAGGATGCCATCTTGAAATAACCGACTCCTGGAATGCCATTTCAGCTTCAAGACCAATAGAGAGCTAAATCGAGTGGTATTTCTGAGTTGACAAAAGAAAAATTTAATTAAAACTATAAGTGACCTTCAAATGTCAGAAGTAAATAAAACGATAACAACTACATTTTTGACAGCTGTCACCAGCTAATGGGAATGCCATAAAAACTCATGATCAGGGAGCACTGGCATATCCAATGTGTTCTGGACTCATCACCATAAATTTTGTCAGATAAATGCTCAACCCCATAATAATCTTACATCAATGCACTGAATTAGCCTCAGCTACACTGATAGAAAGACAGGTAGGGTAAGGGATCATCTCCATAACAATGACATCCTCCCATGCTGACAAATAGCTGGAAGAATGGCAATCATTTGCATAAAAGGAAAAGCAAAGAACTTCAACAGACATGATAACGGAGTCTCATGCCATTTGCATTCTGTGACCTTCCTTCTTTTTTAATTTGGGGTGTTTTTTTTCTGATGTGCTCAGATTATTTCACATACGCTCACATGCACACACACGTATGTGAATAAAGGAAAATACAACTCATACAGGCTTCTCCCTCTAAAGGAGGGAAGATATATCTGTGCTAGCATGTACAAGGTCAGCTGTTTTAAAACATGCTGGTATCTGGACATGAAGAATTTTAAACCTTCCAGCTGATCCAGCTGGACGGTGACTGGCTTTGCTGGTGAGGAGTCACAGAGACGCTCAACAGGATTGAGACTGCTAATTGATTTTGCCACTTTGTTGAATACAGCAAACCCTCCTGCCTCACAGTTTCTCAATTTCAAGTATTTTCTTGCATAACACTAAAGCAATGCTATAAGGAATACTAACAAATATGGCCATCATGCAGACACGTTGCCCAAACTTGTACTTGTTTTATAAATATTTTATAAGAATAAATTAAATGTTTGAGGAAAATATTGAAAACATTTTCCACCAAAAGGAGAAAAACAAATAGTTCCGACATTAAATATAGTGTGTTATTTAAAATAATTGTTGATAATTTCAAGCTGATACATATAAGAACATAGTATCCATATAAATAGTATGCATGATACTTTGGATTATAATAATCTGTAGAAGTAACACTGGGGCTTAGACCAATCGTCCAGTCCAGTGTGGCCTCTATTTTCCATAGACATGCAAGCTACAAATTGTTTTTACACTTTTAAATGATATGTATCTTCCTACACAGCACCTTACACTTTGCCTCTAGGTTGTCAAAGCCTAAAATATTTGCCATCTAGCTCTTGACTGAACAATATTGCTGACTTCTCTGATGAAGAACAAATAATTGTACACAAACATGAAATCAAATTCTGCATGCAAGTGGTTTCAGTGTCTAGTGTGTAGGGCAAATGGTCCCTAATGTGTGCATATAAATCCCTTGGAAAACAGACATCTCAGTCCTAGCCTAATACACATCAGGACATTAAGGGTCTTCATCTGATATGAAGGGTCCTAGTGAGACCTTAAGGGTCATGCCATATGCATAAATTTCAATTTCTTATAAAAATATATTAAGAGTAGAAATGTGGCCGGGCGCTGTAGCTCACGCCTGTAATCCCAGCACTTTGGGAGGCCAAGGAGGGCAGATCACGAGGTCAGGAGATTGAGACCATCCTGGCTAACACAGAGAAACCCCACCTCAACTAAAAATACAAAACATTAGCCAGGCGTGGTGGTGGGTGCCTGTAGTCCCAGCCACTTGGGAGGCTGAGGCAGGAGAATGGCATGAACCCGGGAGGCTCAGCTTGCAGTGAGCCGAGATCGCATCACTGCACTCCAGCCTGTACAACAGAGCGAGACTCCATCTCAAAAAAAAAAAAAAGTAGAAATGTGAAGTTAACTTGTGATAAACATAATCAGATTGCATCTGCAGAGACTGGGCTGTGTAGGCTGTACATGCAGAAGGAAAAGGCTCTGTATGCAGTCTGTGGCATGGAGAAAACTTAAACTCAGTTTTTCCTTGAAACTCAAAGACCCTCTTTTTTCCTATTTTATATTGAGAGAATTTCTGCCATGTTGCATTTTCCCAGAACCAAAAGGACCATGACATTGTTTCATAAGTACACAATTTTGTTTATGTATTTTTGACTTTTTCTTATGATGTTGACCATTACAAAAATATCTCTTTTTTTTGGTGAAGTTAGAGTGAACTGAGTTTGGGCTTCCACCTCTGCACTTTTCTAACATGCCAAGAATATCTTTATCATCACATTTGCCACGTTGATCTGTCACTGTTTTCATCTTTGCCGTCGGCTGGGATGCTTGAAGGAGAGGCCCGTGACTCATCGCGTTCTGTCACTTTGGTGCCTGGAATACGGTAACCACTCAATAAATATTAATTGCCATTATAATGATTACCATTGCTGTTATCAGTGTTATTCTTCTCCACTGTAGCGTAATACTTGCTATGATCCAGATCAGGTTTTTGAAGCAACTTCACGCTTGGCATTTCAGGGACAGAATCATTTAGAAGCAAACACATATTTTAGCCTGCTTTAAAACAAAAGAAAAAGGGCATGCTTCTTCTGTGCTTGTCCGGAAGGCAAAAAACATTGAAGCTCCAAAGTTTTCTGAAGAAACAACTGCAGACAAAGACCTTGCTACAATCCGATTTGATTAGTGTTGACATTAGCTAGAGGGGAAGACCGACGATGAGACCAGGGAGTGAAATACAAGTTTGGCCTGGTGCTTCCCTAATAATATGCAGTTAGAGCTATGCCCTATGAAGACCATTAAATAAGACTTGGCTAAAAATACTTTCAGGTAGTACTTGCTTTCATGCACTAAGGAAGCAAAGGGGTAACTACAATAATAGTAATTATTTTATATATATGTATATATTACTTTTTGAGCCGGCGTCTCATTCTATTGCCCAGGCTGGAGCACAACGGCACAATCTCGGCTCACTGCAACCTCTGCCTCCCAGGTTCAAGCGATTCTCCTGCCTCAGCCTCCCGAGTAGCTGGGATTACAGGTGCGCACCACCATGCCTGGCTAATTTTTGTTTTTTTTTTGTTTTTTTTTTTTTGATTTTTTAGTGGTGGGGAATAACCATGTTGGTCAAGCTGGTCTCAAACTCCTAACCTCGTGATCCGCACTCCTCGTCTTCCCAAAGTGCTGGTATTAGAGGCGTGAGCCACTGCACCCAGCCCAACAATAATATTTTTATTTTCATTGCCTAAAACAAGCAGTCCAGGTAGATTGTACTCACCTGCATCTAAGAAAGTCAGTATAAATATTTACTTAAGTTTCCTCCCCTCTCTGAGGGGAGGGAACTTAGAGGTTGGGTCAGGTGCCACAAACCACTATGGCACCTGTACGCCTGTGTAACAAACCTGCACGTTCTGCACATGTATCCCAGAACTTAAAGTAAAATTAAAAAAAAAAAAAAAGAATAGCTTTTAGGTGGATCGCAGTGCCTAGACCAGTGCCTAGCATGCATAGTAGGGGCTTAATAATTATTTGTTGAATGAATGAATGGAAAAATTACATCCCATCTGAAAATTTAAAAAAAATTCACTCTGGAAATTAGTTTTGAATGATATATAAACAAATAAGTTATAATCCCAGGTTTCTACTAAATTCAGAAAGAGTAGACACTTTTTTATTAGAATTATTGAGCGTAAGACCAGTAGATTTTTTAAAATTAAAAACATGAAGATGAAAAGGCTGCTCCTTCTGGCATCAAATATATCTGGAAGAAGATATTAAGTGGCTACAAGGTTGGAAAAGAGAAAGAAAGTTAAGAAATAACTAACGTTTTGTATCTTCCTTGCAACAGCATGTGCTTTCCTCTGATTCTAAGGTGAAACCCTGAACCTGACGATTGGTTTCACTACACTGATTGGATACAGGATCCAGCAGGTGAGGCTGTGGCTCCACCCTGCCCACCATGCTCCCAGCTAGAGCCCCACTAGGGACATGCTGATGCATTAGGCTATCCATGACGGCACCACTTACCTTGCAGCCTAATGTGGACTCAGAGTCCTTCTTCAGCCTCTGACACTCATTCATCTTGGGTCTAGAATTGACATAAGGCATTTGGTTATGATTTTAGCCACAAAAGCTAGTACAGGAGAGGAAGCAGACAGGAGACTAAAATTTATTATGAAGCCACTACATATGTACCAGGCAACTCTTAAATCCCAACCCCCCAGTGCTCATCCATAGTAACATAGATCTCTACATTGTGGTACGTGCACGCAATGGAATAGTATGAAGTGGTAAGCATGAATACTCTGCCACTTCCTGGGCACAGAGAATGACACTCACAGGAGGGTCCAGAGAAACCAGTGCAGAAGGGTGCATACTGTAGCTCCGTTTACAAAAACAGGAATATGGACATCGTTACTCCATCCGTTAGATATTAGGTGGTGGTGAGGTGCCTTGCGGTGGGCATGCCTGGAAAGGGACATAAGAAATGCTTTTTGGCTGATAATAATCTTTGTCTTGCTCTAGGGGCTGGTTACAAATGTTGTTCAGTTTGTGAAAGTTCTTTAAATGATACACTAAAAAAATGGTACAGTTGAATTCTCTCAATTTTTTATTATTTTCCTCCCCTCTTGTCCCTATAATAGGGACATCTGTCCCATTCTTGATCCTGTGGTTCACTTGCTGTCTTTAGGAGAGAAGATCTGCCACACAGATGCAGCACTTGGGCCACATGACTAGTTTGGTCATTGGAAGAGGGTCGGGTGTTATATAAATTCTGCTCATGTAGAAGACGTCCACATAATGGCCTGGCTTACTTGGCCTCTCTCCTCTTCTGCCTCCCTGCCACAAGATGGGTGAGATTCGGATCAGAATGCTCCTTTCCTGAAGTGCCAGAGCCCCACAAGAGCTGGGAACAGACCCACAATTTAGAGCAATCCACCAGTGAGCCGGGGCAGAGCCTTTGTCTGAAGCAGACCCATGGCCAACCCATGGCCCCCATGTAAAGTGAGTGATAAATACATATAGATGTTGTTGAATGCCACCAAGATTTAGGTGTTGTTTGATACCAGAGGAAAGCAACTTAATGTAAAAATTTGGTATTATGAATAGGATACTGATAAAACAGAGAAGCTAAAATGTTGAGATTGGCTTCAGGGCCAGACAAAAGGCGGCAAAGAAACTATTATTAGAACCTAAACACTGATAACCAGGCAACAGAAAAACATTTGGTAAAATTGTGGGTGCTAACCAGGAAGGTAGACACTATACCCAATTGACTTATGGATTTGGTTGAAGAGATTTTAAAAAGAGAATATTATTGCTACAATTGGTCTATATCAGCCATAGTAGTTAAGGTACTCCAAGAAATATGAGCTCAGAAAAGAAGAAGCCTATTTGCAAGAAGAGATACATGGAAAAGAAATTAGACTATTTGGAAATACTGGGAATTTCATAATTGGAAAATGAAATTATTTGTTATCTCCAATAAGAAAATAAAATTAAATGAATTTGGGAATTTTTCGAGTCAAAAAGTCTGGCTAAGATTCAAATACAGACACAAGATTAAAGCAAAGAGCAATTCAAGGGTCTAGCTCTTGTATCTTTGTTTAAGCATCTTTGTTTGAGGTGGTCCTCAGGAAGTACTTTCCACTGGAAAAAGGCAGCTCAAGCATTACAGTCTTTGGAAGTCTGATAAAGTCAAGAAAACTATAATTCAGGGGAGAGAGATAGAGTCAGAAAGAATTATTGGAAAGAACTGTGATGGCAGACATTAGCACATAAAGCTGACTAGAATTGAACAAATTGAAAGACAGAGTCGCACTGACAAAAACATGGTCATCCTTGATTAAACCACACTGCTGCTGTCTGAGCTCTAAATCAGGTGAATAAATCCTCTCAGCACCCACATAAGGCCTGTTCTCCAACATGCCCCTCAGATGTGCACAAGCAGAACGATGACAGCTGGGCCTCCACAAGGAACATTCTCCAGAGTGCTCCAGTATCAAGGAGCAAAGCCTTCAACATTTTCCCATCAGGAATTCATGAAGTTTCTGTGGAGCAGTAACTACAGTGGTTCCACTCTTTCCCCCTCTGAATGAGCATCTATTGTGGTTATTCTGGCTGTATTACGTCACTGTGTGCTGGGTCACAGGTAAGAAAGAGGATGCACAGAACTTGTCTATGTAGTTTATGGGTCCTCAGATCAAGCAGAGCCACATCTGAACCCAGTGCAGTTATCAACATGAGATCTGGGTTTTAAGCCAGACACTGACTTTTAATTTAATGTGACTTTTGGGGTTTCTTCCTTTGGAGGAGTGCATTTAATTTGCAAGTGGAAAGGAAGTAAATATCTGTGATCAAGAAGGCAATGGTAGATTATAATATATTTCTTAAATATTCAATGACTTTCTAAGAGGACTTTATATCCCATTACCATGTATAGTTGATTGTAATGAGTGGCCAGAAGATATTTGGTTTCCATCTGTTTATAGCCATCTACAGTGGGTCTAGCAGCTCCTCCCATCATTTCCCACAGTTCCTCTGGGATGAACCATGTGACTTCCCCGCTTAATTGAGCAATAGCAAGAACCACCCAAGCAGAGATGTGAAAGGGACTTGAGCTTTGGGGCTGCCTTTTGTTGCTGTTTAAACTCTGTTCCCAAAAGAAGAAGCCCAAGCCAGCTTCCAGGGTGATGATAGTCCCCTGGTGTAGTAAATCCCTTGTCATATCTGACAGCCAACCAAACACTAGAAATCTCAGTGAGGCCACATGGAAATAGCCAGACATGCTAGACTGACCAACTGAATACATATGCAAGAACCAAGGTTGGCCAAGTTTTGCCTGGAGAAGAAGAACCCCCCAGCTGAGTCCAGCCAATTTGGCAACCTGAAGAGTAGGGAACTAAATGCATGGTTTTGTGTTAAGTTTGCTATGCAACAAAATCTACCTTAGTCACTATATTAGCTGCCCCTGTGGGTCAGTTGAATATACCTACCCCATGGACTTTGGTCTGAGTTACACGGCTTGTTTTCACCAGTGGGATGAGGAGGACATGCCACATGAGTTTCTGTGCACTGACTCTACCTCTTTCTCCTTCTCCATCAAGAAAACCGGCCTGTCCTAGATCTAGGTCAGGGCTGCTTTTTTTTTTTTTTAGCCTAAGTCCCCAGATGAGAAGGCATGGAAGACCTAGAATGCAAAGCTGAGCCATAGTGAACCCATATTTCTCATGTAATATGAGAAATGAATGTTGTTAAACTTGAAATTTGGAGATTTTGTTACTTCTGCAAAGTTAAGTGATATATCATTTTTTAGTAGGGAACATTATCTCTATTTTAAATTTTTATGTATTTATTTTTAATTTTACTTTAAGTTCCAGGATACATGTGCAGAACTTGCAGGTTTGTTACGTAGGTGTATGTGTGCCATGGTGGTTTGCTGCACCTATTGACCTATCATCTAGGTTCCCTCACCTCGCCCCTCACCCCCTACCCCACAACACGCCCTAGTGTGCGCTGTTTCCCTCCCTGTGTCCATGTGCTCTCATGGGGGAATACTACCTCTTTTATAACAGAAAGGAGTGGTGGCTCACGCCTGTAATCCCAGCACTTTGGGAGGCCGAGGCGGGCAGATCATGAGGTCAGGAGATAGAGACCATCCTGGCTAACACGGTGAAACCCCGTCTCTACTAAAAATACAAAAAAATTAGCCAGGTATGGTGGTGGGTGCCTGTAGTCTCAGCTACTCAGGAGGCTGAGGCAGGAGAATGGCATGAACCCGGGAGGCGGAGCTTGCAGTGAGCCGAGATCGCACCACTGCACTCCAGCCTGGGTGACAGAGCGAGACTCCATCTCAAGAAGAAAAAAAAAAAAAAGAGAGAAGAAGTGGAGGCTCAGAGAAGTTAAGTAACAGACCTAAAATTATACAGCCGATGTGTAATAAAGCCAGGATTCATGTCCAGCTCTTTCTAACTCTAGAGAACATGGTTTTACCATCCACACCTAAAAAGACAACCTCATGAAAATTACATTGAAATTTATTGCACGGATGAATAAATGGGTAATTTTTTTAAGTCTTCTTATAGTTTGTGTCTGCATCTCACTCAGTTTTGAGCTCAAATCAGAGAATCAGTTAATTTTCTAGAAAAGTATCAAAAAATTTTAGGTTTCAGTGAAACTGGGGTTATACAGAATTTTTAACGTTTGAGGATCTTTTTTCAACCCAATAAGTCATCTATCGAGTTAATATACAGGAGAAACTTGCAGCCTTATCCCCCGCTGTCTGCCCCATTCCATTCTTGCTCCTCAAGCTTTTCTTTTGTGTATTAAAAAAATCACCTTCTCTAATTGTATTGTTTCTGAGAGTCATCAATATCAGGGCATTGACATAAATAAGATCAAAAGTGAAAACTGGAACTCCATTGGGTTACATGGAACAGCCCACTGCATTAAGCCTGTGTTGTGTGCTCTTGAGGCCCTCTTAACACATATCTATAAGGGTGAATACTTTATTTTATTCTATTTGATTTTATTTTATTTCATTGTGTGAGTATTTCAAGGAAACCTGAGGGGAATTGGGCACAGAATAAAAGCTTTCTTGCCAATATTAAGAAATCAAAAATGGTGAATGGACAATGGCTCAGTTTGATTCAGTGAACATGGATTGAGCAGCTGGGCCCCCACATTCCTTCACAAGGCCATTGTACGAGACGTGGCTGGAGAAAATAACTCATTTTCCCTGCTCTTCAAAATGCTCCCAGTGTATGGAATAAGAGATGCCATGGCCGACACCTTGAACATAAGCTGTCAGTGCTGTTAATGCGTCTACACCCAGTGCTTTTCCTGCACGCCTGCCCCAGTGAAGGATGAGCCCTGAGTGAGCCTGGAACAGGTGGTAAGTGGAATGCGGCAGGAACAAGATACGCGGGATTAAAATGTATAGACGATTTCCTCTCTTACTGGCCCTGAGGGTTACTGTGTGTCCTGGGGCACTGCCATTCTCTAGGAGTAGCTTTACCACAGCAACAGCAGTCCACAGGCCACTTTAATAAAGTTCTCGAAAAATCACAAAGCAACAACCAACAAATCAGCCCATTTGCCCCAAAAAATGCCCTGTGAAATGCAAAAATCTATTATTATTGTACTCATCCTACACTGCCTTCCAGATGAGGTTTTGATTAGCTGAATTCATGCAGTATGTGGTAGATAAACCATAGGGCCAGGCTTGCTGACCCTAAATATCACAGCAATTCAGCCACACCCTTCTGTGAACAAAGCAATTGAGACTGGACAATCGTGCCAGGCCTCCAGCAAAATCCTCACAAATTGCTTTTCGGGCTTTCTAATATTCAGTCAATGGCAATTATTTATTGAGAGCATACTCTATGCCAGCAACTGCTCTAACGAGCAAACAGACAACCCCTTCCTTCACAGAGCTCACATCCTTATGAGGAAGCAGAAACCCAGTGACATAAGTAAGTAATACATGTACTATATGTATATATATATTGAGAAGGAGTCTCACCTTGTCACCAGCTGGAGTGCAGTGGCACGATCTCGGCTCACTGCAACCTCCGCCTCCTGGGTTCAAGCAATTCTCCTGCCTCAGCCTCCTGAGTAGCTGGGACTACAGGCGCCCAAGACCACGCCTAGTTAATTTTGGTATTTTTAGTAGAGATGGGGTTTCACTATGTTGGCCAGGATGGTCTCAATCTCTTGACCTCATGATCTGCCCACCTCGACCTCCCAAAGTGCTGGGAATACAGGCGTGAGCCTCCGCGCTCGGCCACATGTATCATATTAAATGTGATACATGTTCCATATGAAAACAGTACATGGTGAGATGATTGAGTTTTTGGTCATAGGTAGCTTTTTCTAGCTACCCAATGTGTGCATGTGAATGTGTATAATGTAGACAAATGTAAATGCATATTTATCTATCTCCCAGAGTCCAGTAACCTAGGAGATTTGATGACTAGGATTCCAGTTCAGGGGATTTTTTTCATACTTTAAATATTTGTGCGCTACACAACTGATATATAAATCAAAGTCTTAGACAAATCTGAACAACTAATTTCTTAACATTTTTTGGTCCTGGAAGAAGAGACGCATGTAAACTTTAGTTTATTTTTCATTGCAACCACAGCTCTGGCTCAGGTAAGACATGCCCATCATTACAACATTCACCAGCATGAATTGCTTATTTCCTATAAAATGCTCTGCAGTTAGGCCAGCCACCTTATTGACATGTTTCTGTTTCCACTTGAATAGGCTAAAAAGGGATTCCTTCTACAAGATCTAGAAAAAGTTGAGCAATTAAAATTCTCTTTATTTTATTTTACTTTAAGTTATGGGATACATGTGCAGAACGTGCAGGTTTGTTACACAGGTATACATGTGCCATGGTGGTTTGCTGCACCTATCAACCCAACATCTAGGTTTGAAGCCCCGCATGCATTAGCTATTTGTCCTAATGCTCTCCCTCCCCTTACCGCCCACCTCCCAATAGGCCCCAGTGTGTGATGTTCTCCTCCCTGTGTCCATGTGTTCTCATTATTCAATTCTAACTTATGAGTGAGAACATGCAGTGTTTGGTTTTCTGTTCCTGCGTTAGTTTGCTGAGAATGATGGCTTCCAGCTTTATCCATGTCACTGCAGAAGACATGAACTCATTCTTTTTTATGGCTGCATGGTATTCCATGGTGTATATGTGCCACATTTTTTTTATCCAGTCTATCACTGATGGACATTTTGGTTAGTTCCAAGTCTTTGCTATTGTAAATAGTGCTGCAATAAACATATGAGTTCATGTGTCTTTATAGTAGAATGATTTATAATCTTTTCGGTATATAAACAGTAATGGGATTGCTGGGTTGAATGGTATCTCTGATTCTAGATCCTGAGGAATCACCACACTGTCTTCCACAATGGTGGAAATAATTTACACTCCCACCAACAGTGTAAGAAGAAACCATACATCTCCAGAGTAGAGTATAGCAGATGAATCATCCTTAAAACATAGCAAATGCTTATATCCTCAAAAAGTAAAACACAGAGTCCCATCAGAAACTCTGCCGTGGGTGTACGGAACTTCAGTGAAGTCAACCCTATCTTTTCTTCTCTTTTTCATTAGGTTTTTATGGGGCTGTGTTTGTGAAGAGACTACTGAGTGTTTTCAAGAGACAGAACTCTATCTTTATTTCACACAGAAGAGCAACTCTGGACTTTGTCTACACATAAAAATTACCTTGGAAGCTCTAAAAATTGCCAGGCAGGCAGATTAAACCCCATAATCCCCAGTTGAAAATTAGACAGCTGTGGTCTTCTAAGCTCTCCAGGTTAAGAGCCACTGACTTAAACCATTGGAAAATGATCATTTCCAAAGGCATGTAAAAGCTGAGTATTGCCCACAAAGCAGACACATGATTCAGATTTCTTTATCATCTACTTGCATTTATGTATATGCCATTTGGATTCCCCTGGAGGTATGGAATGTGTGACAATGGAAATTACCAGAGTAACTAGAATAGAATATCATTAGTAACCTCAGTTACCCCAGAGGCAGAGTGCACCTATATTCTATGTTCATGTTCACAGAAGGCATATGTGGGTGTCTCCTATGTTCATATAAAGTATATGTCCTATATATGCCTTATATTCCAAAACAGCTTTGATTTCAAGTCATATGCTGTATTACTTCCTTACAACCACCAATTACCCTGTATTTAATGTACTTAATATTTTTCTTCCACATTATTTCTTTTATCAAAAAATAAGCACGAAAATCCTGCTCTAGTCAAATCAGCATCTTAATTTGGGGTCCAGAAAGCATGATTATCACAACTAACCATCTTTATGAGGATGCATGAGCGAAGAAGAGATTTCAGACAATTTTGAAGGATGTAAGTTGAGATGGATTCAAGTTCTTTTTCATGGATATGAGAGCTCTTCTCTTTTTATTCCACAATCCAGGAAGGTCGTGATTAACCGTCACCTGCTGAAAGTGGTGCAGAATGAAGTCAGCCTTGCTATAGTGGCAGCAATTGTTGTTAGTAATTTGTAGCAGAGAAATCTAATTGGAGAGTTTCCTCTGAATGCTTACTATTTGGAGAATTCAAGAGTCTGAGTCTAGGACCCTTGGCTCCAAGTGGCTAGACTGCATTGCTTTGACATTAAAGCCCAACAGGAACAACTTGGTTCTGCAAAGAAAAGGGGTGGGGAACAGATCACCTAAAAGCACTGATCTTATCATGCAGTTATCAACCATGTGAACTATATCCTAAAGGTCAGACAACACCAGAGGACCTCTGGGCTATGACTTGACTAGGACTTGCATGCAAAACTTGAAACATAATTTGAGGTAGTATAACTTGACCTCTGCTCAGGAAAGGTCAAAGTCACAGAATATCAACCCTGCAAGAGATTTCAGAGATGACCTTTCCAGTCCCTACTTTCCTTTTTTTCTTTTTTAATGATACATAACAATTGTTCATATTAAAGGCTGCATATGATATTTCCATATTGTGATAAAATGTGAATCAAATTAGGATATTTAGAGTATCCATCACCTCAAACAGCATTTGTTTGTGTTATAATCATTTCGAATATTATCTTCTGGATATTTTGGTGTATGCAGTACATTATTGTTAACGATAGTCACCCTACTATGCTATTGAACACCAGAACGTATTCCTCCCATCTAACTGAATGTTTGTACCCATTCACCAGCCTCTACTCTTCTCTGACCCCACACTTACCAGTGTCTGGTAACCACCGTTCTGTTCACTATTTCCACGAGATCAACTTTTTTAGTTCTCACATATGAGTGAGGACATGAGATATCTGTGTTTCTGGAGCTAGCTTATTTTAATATAATGACCTCCCGGTTCACCCATGTTGCTGCAAATGACAGAATTTCGTTCTGTTTTTATGGCTGATTAGTAGTTCATTATGTATTTATGCCACATTTTCCCTATTCACTCATCCATTCACTCATTCATTCATTCATTCATGGACACTTGTGTTGATTCTGCATTTTCACGATTGGGAATACTGCTGTGATAAATGTACACGTGCAGGTCTCTTTTTAATAGAAGGATTTCTTTTCCTTTGGATAGATTCCAAGTAGTGGGATTGCTGGATTGAATGGTAGTTCTATTTAAGTTCTTTGAGAAATCTCTGCGGTTCAGATCCACAAAACCCAAACTATTTGGAAAATATCAGCTTTGAAGCAGCAGTTCGGTCTTTCTGTTCAAGAAGCAAGCTGATCTTCCTTCATCAATTTCTTAGGTGGTGCCTTTGCAAGGGGCAATGAGAGGTGGACATAGAAGATATCAAGGGTCCCTCCCAGGCTGGAGTGCAAGATACGATCTCAGCTCACTGCAACTTCCACCTCCCAGGTTCAAGTGATTCTCCTGCCTCAGCCTCCTGAGTAGCTGGGATTACAGGCATGCCCGGCTAATTTTTGTATTTTTAGTAGAGATGAGGTTTCATAGTGTTGGTCAGACTGATCTCGAACTCCTGACCTCATGATCTGCCCGCCTTGGCCTCCTAGATTCCCTCCCAATTTTAAGATCTTTAATTAGTTTTTGTCATAAATACTTAGAAGAGCTCATGGATCATATGCTTGGTCCTCTTAGCAAGGAAACCTCTCTGCAAATGGTCATGTACTTACCAGCAAAGCTCCCTGAGCCAAGGGAGTTCTCTTCCCAATGACGCTTCACTAAAGTAGAAAATGTTGCATTCGCTTACAACGAGACTTCTTTTTCCTTGGGTTTTAATCATATGACAAATTAGGTTGAATTTGCATTTACACAGCATTTTATGATGTAAGCTTTCTAATAACGCTGCAGCCGGCACTGCAGTGAATTGCATTATCCCTAATGGTTCATCAGTTCTGAGATTTAGTATTTGATCTTGTTTTATTATCTTCTCCAGCTATATTCTATACCTATTTTTTCCCTGAAATGAACATTATTGATTTACTTATTAAATATTGTCTGCCTACGGTGAATTTTTCACATAAGCAGCATGATGAATCCTTTTTAAAAATAATGATTATCTGCAACACGATGCCAGAAATGCTGGCTTTATAAGGAAGGTTTGAATGAATTTGAACTAAATACAGAGAATGAAAACCTTCCTGGGCTTTCTTAGATAAAGGCTTATACACTGATTCTATCTCCTTGAGAAAAAGAGTAATCAATAAGTGATTATATTCTTAAAATAAATTACATTTCGGTTTCGTTCTGTCCAGAGCAGTTAAGAAGTGATGATTACTATGGGTTAAGCCTGAGGGCAAAAAAAGGGAACTTTATGAGTTATTTGCAATATCTGAGGAAATACTTCAGAATAATAATAAAGTCAGCAGTAAAATTAGCTTTACCTTTGGTTCACAGTATGTTCTTCCCTGAAGTTTGCTTCTAGCTAAATCTAACCCTAAGTGAAACTGGAAAAAGAAGACTGTTTAGCACCTTACCTGCTCCACACTCGTGCCTGTCCCCTCAATGCTTGGGCTAATCCAGGGGTCTCCTGACGTCCCCAGAGGTCCAGGGTCTTGTCGGCAACCCTCCCTCCCCGAGACACATCTGTCGCCTCTTCCCTGCTTTCCTCCTCCAGGGTTGCATCCTCTCTCAGTCTACTATTGCTGGCCCATGGACCACCCTTAAACCCAAGGGTCCAAAACACTCATGAGCACCTTTCTCCCAAGTCTGCTGATGGATTGGCTGGCAGATTGCAAGACCGAAAAAGTCACCTGCTCCCTCGGCCTCTTTGACATATTCCAGGGGAAAAAAAAAATCAAGTTGCCTGGTTCATTTCAGAAAGATAATACATGCCTGATATTACCCCTGGTCACAGGGTATAAAAGAAAAGTAGACATTTATTTTCTGCATTCTCCCTGGCAACTACCTGTCCCTGGAGAGGAATTGAAAAACCTAGGCAGCTGTAGCCAGGGCCCCATGGCATCTAATCCTGGACCAACAGGCAGTGCACTCCCATTGAGATTTTGCATCTATGACCATGAGTGTGTGTGTGCATGAGTGTATGTGTATGTGTGTGTACATGAGCGTTTGTGTGTGTGCATGTGTGTATGCATGCATGTGTGTGTGCAGTGTGTGTGTCCCTGTGACCGTGTGTCCCCATCAACTAGAAACTCAGCCAAGATGCTGCAACTTAATCACAAATAACAACAAGCAAGTTGGGAGGCAAGAAGTACAGACGGGTGGGCTTATGTGAAGCAAATCCATATAAAAAGAATTAACCATCATAATGTATAAAGTGCTCCCACAAAACAAAGGAAAAAAGGATAAAAAAGAGAGAAAATATTCAAAGTCTAAAAAGCATAATGAGAATAGGAAATACAAACAGCCAATAAATACATGAAAGATGATCCATGTAACCAATACAAAGGGGATTACAAAATGAAACGAAACTGAGATTTTTTTTGCCAATCTTATTGTCAGAAGTTGTGAGGACTAATAGATTCTAGAGGCACCAAAGCTGAGAACCTGAAGGCTGGACCACTGACGGCTCTGGGCAAGGCAACTCAGCAATCAGTACCAACATTTCTAAGTATACATCTAAAGTGTGCAATTCTACGTCGATGCCTCCATCTGACGAGAGTGTGCCTCTGCTCAAAGACATGTTTATGGAGGAGCTCCTTACAATAACCAAAGAAAAAAATTAGAGACCACAGACTGTCCACCAGCAGTAGATGAAATAGCTCAAGCTGTGGTAAAATAGCATGCACCCATGCATACCCAATGATCACCCACGAACGAAACAACTCATCCACATCAGCACTAAGAACAGGGAGAGGGCAGGGCAACAAGAACAGGACACAGCAGATTTCTGAAGTACAGAAGTCCGATAAGGGCAGTAACTCATGCCTGTAATCCCAGCACTGGGGAGGCTGAGGCGGGAAAATGGGTTTAGCCCAGGAGTTCAAAACCAGCCTGGGCAGTATAACGAGACCCCATCTCTACTAAAAATAAAATTAAAAAAATAAAAAACCTAGCCAGGAAAGGTGGTGCAAACCAGTAGTCCAAGCTACTTGGGAGGCTGAGATTGGAGGATCACTTGAGCCCAGGAGGTCGAGGCTGCAGTGAGCTGAGATTGCACCATTGCACTGCACTCCTGCCTGGGGAATAGAGTGAGACCCTGTCTCCTCTTAAAATAATGGATGAGATGAGATAAACTGGTGCTGAGAAGGTCGTGCATTGTCCTGGATTTGGCAGGAGGAAGGACTCTGGCATCCGCCGAGGGTCTACCCTGGAGCAGAAAGGGCACATCCAGGCCTCAGGATGAAATCACAGGATGTGTCTGGAACGCAGGGAGTGGGGTAGGTCTGATGCCAAGTGCTGGAGGAATTTCCCCTCTCATTCCTTCTATTTTCCAGTGAAATGGGAAGCATGGCTGTCAGTGGAGAGAGGGCTCAGGAAACAGGAAATGGAGGTACAGAAAGACCAAGATGTGGAACTCTCCTAGGAAAGTGGAAATGCATGGGGCTGGGAAATATGCCACTTTGGGGGTGAGGGTCACTTGAGGGTGACACAACTGATGTTCAACGTAACCTGTAGGTTGGCTGCATGTTCCCCTCCAGGCTGGTCAGCCCCAGGAGGAGTCTGAGCTGAGTCTCACTCAGGTAGGTGAGGGGAAGGAGCATGGCCCCAGGAGGGTGAAAGGCCTGCAAAGTTGTGGTTGTCCGAAGGGACCTTCCAGGTTGCAGGGCAAGGAAGGAAGGGTGTGTGCATTGGGAAGGAGGGTGATCTCATTCTTGGTCTTCCCTTTGCCGAGAAATCTTTTCTCCCTCAAGATAACTCATTGTTTGCATTGGAAATATTATAACACAAATGATGCCGAAATGTCTTTTTTTCTCATTTTTGTCACTGACATAATTTTATATTAATATGTATATCTATTAGCATTTCACACACTGCATTTGGATTTTTTATGGTTTCCTGATGATTTTTTGTGATATTGATGGCTTCCTAAAGATGTGAAACATGTTAAGTCACTTCCCACCTTAACGTGGTGTCCATCATTTGATGGGCATTCAGGAAACGTCAGTTAGTAGAATGGGTGGATGCTAAGAAGGAAGGTAAGAAACTAATATCCATCGTCTCCAAATGAGAGAGATAGAGGAAGAAAGGAAGGTAGGAGGAAGTCGGAAGGGAGAGAGAGAGACAAGGATGGCCAGAGTAGAGAAGTACCACCCACAGAGCTATTTTTGGATAATGTGGACAAAGCCATCTACTTTCTTTGCACACCCCTTGCAGCAACATGCTGTCCCTCATATCCACATTTTTATTCAGAATGTTCTAGGTTATCTTGTTGTTTCAAAGTTAACAAATTAACCGGGAGATCTCAGTGATTTACAAGAAAGGTGTATTTCATGTTCACAGCGTGTCTCCAGTGGGAGTTGATGAGGAGGGCTCTGCTCCACGCACTCTTGCAGGGATCCAGGCTGATGGCGATGCCATTGCCCAGTCAGGCCCACAAGAGCATCTCTACTCTGTCCCATGCACGATTTCTGCTCATGCCCACTGGCCAGAATTAGTAGCAGGTTCCTGCCCAAGTGCAAGTTGACTGGAGCTGGGTGTGGGGGGAGGCATGGGCATCCAGTGAGCACTGGGCAGCTCTTCCATGACTAAGCTCCTGGCACTCAGCTGGCTGCTACACCAACCACTGCTGAGGCATGGGCTCTCAGCCAGGAGAGCTTTAATGTAAAACACAGCCCGCCCAGCAGTCATTCGTATGCTACAAGTGGGCCTGTGATGAAGAAAAAAGCAAAACAAAACTACAGCTCCAAATAACAAGACGCCTGATGAAGGAATGGCAGGATGTAGAGGTGCCGATCTGGGAGACCAAACTGCTTCTCCTTAAATCTCAATGCCCAAGCTGACTGCATCCGTGCCCACCTGTAAGTCCAGCTATTCGTGTTTATGTGAGATGATGAATGCGACAGGAATACTAAGGTGACAAAGGGGCAGAGATCGAGTTGTGATGCAAATTCCAAGTGAAAACCCCATTTTATACTACCTTGTATCGAGGACTGCATCCTTTCATGGACATTAACCAATAATTTGCTTGGCACCTCTATAAAATATCAGTTATTAAGAGGTAAGCAATTAGTGTGCAGGAGAAGGAAGGCATTCAGCAAAAGCCCAGGCAGCGTGAAATTAGGGACCAGGGTAGAAGAGAATGCAATCCCTAATCCTTTCAAGAGAGCACTGAGGAAAAGCATGGTAGCTATCAAAGACTCGGAAGAGATGCAGGTAATCTCCAAGCAATTCCGCGACATGAAAGCGTATTTTAAGTTTAGAGATCATCAGAGAGGAAAGACTATCTTTTGAGAACAGAATGGGATGTATCCTGTGCTTTTTCCACACCTTTCTCCGAGGCTGGAGCATCACCTACTAGTCTACATTCAGAGCCTGCTGGGAACATAACACTATTTCCGGGAAGGACCAGCCCTCAGGGGCCACACATCCAGGGAAGACTTTCCGCTCAGCACCCACACCTTTATAAACTCATCTCTGCCCCTTCCTGTCCCTTCATCCCAGCCCATCTCCTGCTTCCTGAAGGCCCCCGGTTTACTGAACTCTTCCTGGTGTCCTGCCACCCCCAGCGTCATCCCCACTTGAGGAAAGCGACATCCCAGAGAGAGAGACAGACGTCCCCACAGAGGGCCATGTAAGACTGTCGGGCGTGGTGAGGACACCCAGAGGACAGCGGCTACACCGGGCTGAGGGTGACCAGTGCCGAAGGGGTTTGAGTTTATTCTGTAAATAGGTGAGTCTGTCGGCATCACCTGCCCTCAGGTAGGAAAGCAATAGCCTCAGTTTACCTGCAAGGGTCACTCTCTGAAGGTGGGAGGGACCTGGCACCTCTGAGACCCACCAGGGGACTGAGGTGCCAGCCCCAGCGGGATGGGGGGCAGCCCTGGAGGGGCCACTGTGCATGAGGCCTGTGACAGATGCAGGAAGCAGGACCATGGAGAGGGGTGCTCCGGGATGCAGCATGCGCAGAGGGGCTTCGAGGCGTTTTCTGGGACAATTAGAAATAGCGGGAGCTAATGAAAGAGAAAGGGCTGGGCACGATTTCCACTTCCTCTGCGAGGGTGGCCTGCACTTTACCCTCTGGCTTCATTATACCTTCCTTCCTTTCCCAGCTCTATGCTGGTGCCGCCGTGCTAGGATCTCTCTCAGTTGCCTGGAATTTGGGTCTGATTTTACATACCCAGCTCCGGCAGAACATTAAAATTCTACCTGTCATTTTTATTCCACACTCTCACCACGGCACCGAGCGTGGGCCTCAGACAGCCTCCGTGAGAAATGAAGTGAGCGGACTCCGCTTGACAGGCTGGATTTTGGGGGAAGAGAGTCAGCGATGCCGGTGAGGAACGCTCCAGAACCTGACCCACTTGGTTGAAGACATCGATCTACAACCCTTAGTTACAGGAAATCGTTTGGAAATTATTCCGAGATAACGTTTTACGCACTCATTTGCACACCGATGATGTGTATAGTTATGTGTGTAGTCTGTAACTGTTAGTTACTTTCATTGCTATTTGGGGTGTTAGTGTACATTGTATTTGTACACTAACAGTGATTGATATTTTGGTTTGGAAAACAATCCAAAGTTTTGGTGGATAAAAATGTACTTTTCTAATTAGGACTGAGCATTCCAATAGAGCCACCTCCCTTACAGTTCTTATCTTACTGTGCAAAAATATGTGTTTGCAGTCCTATTGTGAATTCAAAATAAGAATGGCAAATCGATATTCTAAAGACCCACACACTGAGAAATCCTACATACTATTTTTATACGTATAAGCAATCTAAATAATTTCTTCAAATTGTCTAGAATATCTCCACAGCTTTTTTATTTCCAGAGACAAGGTTAAAAACAACTTAGTTGTTGTTATAGGTCATTTACAAAATGAGTCATTTAATTAAATGATCTAGGCAAATCCTTGTGGCTTACAGCTTCCCTGAAAAAAAAAATATCACTAAATGATGTGTAAAATGGAGGCCGTATTATGTAATCAAAGAGAAATTAAAAGTATACTGAATCTGTAAATAAAATGCAAGCTATTAGCCCATCAGGTACAGTTCTTGCTTTCAGGAAACTGCTACCTTCTGCAAAAAGCACACCCGCCTCTCTGCCCCATCCATCTCCCAGCACAACGAAGCCGTCACAAGGACATTTTTCCTCCACCGTGGTACTTAGGGCCGTCTGTGTGGCTGACCCAGAGCTGCCGTGAGTAATTTTAAAAAGGCTTATCATTATCCTGACAAAATGCTATGTAGGTGTGCGTGATTCATTTTTTAATAGCGCAGTCAGGAAATAAAGAGAGGAGCCAGGGCGCAAGATAACGCCAGCCCCCGCGTCCCTGTGATATTAATTACTCGAGACACGTGCATGACATGCTGCTCATTTGTTCCTCACCGCCAGCTATCTTATCTCCACTGACGACCGCTGATGAGTGCGGGCAGCCTCCAGACATCCTCAGACAGCCTTCGATCCTTCATTGTTTGTTGCATTGATGGAAAATAGCAGAGGTTGCCTTTCCCACGGTGGCCTGCATTCTAAAAACACAGTTGTGCTCTTTCGCCCTTGTTTTTGCTCTGCCTCCTTTTGTGTATGTGTGTATGTGTGCCTCTCTGTGTGTCTGTCTCTCTCTGTCTTTCTTGCATCTTGTTCTCTTTCTCCTGTGTCCTTTCCTCAATGTCCATCAGTGGAACCGCAGCTCAGGGTGGATCTTAGGAGGGCCCTTTCTTTGAGGGTTCTGCCTTTCTCCTTCCTATAAGATGACTTCAAAAGCCTTGCCTGTGGCCCGTTACTTGACCAGGAGTAATGCTGGAAGTTGCTGTTTTAAAAGATCCCCAGTGCTTTAGTTTCTTCTCAAGAGAATAATATTTTCTTTGTAGTGTGTTCTGAGGATTTAAAACAATGTGTATCAAACACACAACACAAAACCTTAGTGTCAGAAGCACTCAGCACCTGAGAGTCATTATTAGCCGTTATCATCGAAAATTATCTGATTATGTGAAAACGTGTTCGTCCAAGTGACCTGTGTGTGATCATCAGCTTAAGAGATGACGCTTGTAGAAGCCCAGCTCCATGAGGAGAAACTGACAACAGATTGTGGAGCCGTGCAATAGATGGACAAAAACCGCTATTTGCCTCCCAATATTCATGATAAATTCTAGACAATGTCCTGACACGCAGTGAATTGGTGCTTCTTACTTTTCTTGGCAGACTCTGGAGCCAGGCTGCTGGGGTTCAAATCCTGATCTGCTGCTTAACTTGGAAAAACAATCATTTCATGCCTCCATATCTTGTCTACACAGTGGAGACGGCAATGGTGACCAAACCAATCATTTGATGCTTCCATATCTCATCTACACAATGGAGACAGCAATGGTGCCCAACCCCACAGGATGATTCCAGGATTAAGTGGCTCAATGTGATCAATGCATGAAAGTGCAGAAGGGAGAACAGGTGTGATCACTATGGTTGTTATTATTTCTGCTCAGAAGAAGTCCTAAACAACAGTGGCCTCCAAGGCTGTGGTATTCAGGCTGCGTGTGGAACTCATTCTCCCTCCCTAGTTGCACAATTTCTCCCATTTCACAGGGAAAGCAAGGAAAAATGGCAGTGGGCCTGCAGGTCTCCAACTGTCTTCTCTTATCTTTTTTCTCTAGAATAGTACAGCAGTGAGGCCGGGCGCGGTGGCTCATGCCTGTAATCCCAACACTTTGGGAGATCGAGGTGGGCAGATCACCTGAGGTCAGGAGTTCAAGACAAGCTTGGCCAACATGGTGAAACCCTGTCTCTACTTAAAATACAAAAGTTAGCCAGGCATGGTGGCAGGCACCTGTAATCCCAGCTACTTGGGAGGCTGAGGCAGGAGAATTGCTTGAACCCAGGAGGCGGAGGTTGCAGTGAGCTGAGATCGCACCACTGCACTCCAGCCTGGGGGACAAGAGCTAGACTTCGTCTGAAAAAAAAAAAAAAAAAGAATAATACAGCAGTGAAGACAGGAAAATGAAGTGAGAGAAAGGGATAATCACTAATGCTAACATGCTGTACTAGCCCAAAGTTCATAAATCAGTGACACACTCTTTATCTGGGACTGTATTGTTTTCAGGGATCCAGGAAGTTCGCCACTTATGGAGCTGCTCATGTACAGTTGAGCAGGTTGTGGCCTGCCCAAGGACACCTGACTGAAGGAGGGAGTGGCTATGGAATTTCTTTCTGCAACTGACTGATGGAGGAGCTCTGGCACAAACCTGTAGCTGACTGGAGGAAGAGGGGCTCGAGGGGATGGAGCACCCCACAAACCTAATCTGAAGTAGGGGAGACATTGACCCTGCGATCAACAACCTGCTCCAATGTGTACAGTCATGTAGCTCAGCAGTTCAGTGTGGTTCAGAATTTGTAAGAAGTGTAGCAAAAAAAAATGGTAATAAGTAAAGCAAAGATGTTTGAATGCAAAGGCTATATGTTATAAGGGAGAAAATGAAACTTTAAAAAGAAAAAAAGGAAAAAGAAAAAAACGAAAATAAATTAAATGAGCAAAACTGAGGCGAAAGAGGACACTGCAGGGAAGGACTCACATATCTGGAGAGTATACAATCTTTTTGTTAATGTCCATGAAATAATTATAATAAATACATTGTGTGGAATAATTGGTATAAATATTAGAAAACACAGCATTTTCTATTAGCTCTAATATGGCCTATACTTTTTGAAATCCCTGTGATTACTAGGGTAAAATTCCAAAATTACTTTTTTTAATGAGAT